>NC_000005.10:22126002-22429032 GCF_000001405.40 Homo sapiens
GGGGGGGACAAATTCTACAAACTGCTTTAATATTGTCCTTTTTTTCTAATATTCACATTAACTTTTTGTGTAAAACATACCAATGCTTTTAATAAAGCTTACATAGGAGTAAACTATTATAGACCTGCATATATATAAGTACACATGTATTAATCTACATTAAAATAATGGATTTTATTCTGTGAAGACTCCAAGTTGCTCCTGGGTGCTAAGTGAAGCACTTAGGGAAATGTGTTCAGTCTTTGAGGTCATAGGAACATTAGATTATATCAAAGGAAACCTGGAGTCATCAGCTAAGTGGCCCTTCTGTCCTGTAGATACATAAAAACTAATGTGCTCTGCTATGCGGCTCACTTTCTGCTATTAGATATTATGAGGCACTAAGAAAAAACTACTGCCTGCATCATACCTTTCTTCGGTTTGAGATAAAGAGATTGGCCAGAACTGTATACAAGTCATGAAAGGCCCTGGTGTACATTTTTCAAAGTAGTGCAGATTGTGTTGAAATTATCAGTTTATCTTGCATATAAAAAAAACTTATATACACTTTGAGTAAAATATAAAAAGTGGTAAATATCAGGAAAAGTTTGTTTTACTATAGCCATTTCTTGTTCTATTCTATTTGAGTATTTGCTCTATATATTTGATATACTTCCAGAATGCATCCTATTCACAAAGCAGGCAATTACTCTATCAGTGAATACAGTTGCAGAGTCTCTCATCTATTCAGCTTCATTTGTACCTCCACTCCAGCCACTTGCAGAAATGGCGGATGCATCAAAAAGACTGGTTACAGGCCTTGCAACCTCCAAGCGGCTAATTACCAAGATGTTAAGTAAATGACCATTGCTCTTTATCATCCCCAATGGCGTATAAAAAGGATGTTAAACAGGTTCTCTCATGTTCCCCATACATTTATTCATTCCCGTGTTAAAATACGTCTTATGGGAAAAACAAAATTCACCAAAGAATGAGGAAGCGAACATGTGTTAAAAGAGGGACTTCTGGCTAATTTTACAAAGAAGGATAAAAATTCTCAAAATATGTGTGGGGTGGATTGTGGGGGTATTACATATTCATAGCATGCCGCAGAAATCATTTTAAGTCTATCAAAAACAACTATATTGTGCATTTTCAAATAAGCACATATAAAAGATGAGCTATAAGAAGAGAGAAGGATGCTAAAATAAATAAGTGAAAGAGAAAAATGGCTGGGCACGGTGGCTCAAGCCTGTAATCCCAGCACTTTGGGGGGCCGAGAGGTCAGGAGTTCAAGACCAGCCTGGCCAACATGGTGAAACCTGGTCTCTACAAAAATACAAAAATTAGCTGGGCATGTTGGCTCATGCCTGTCATCCCAGCTACTCGGGAGGCTGAGACAGGAGAATCCCTTGAACCTGGGAGGCGGAGGTTGCAGTGTGCCAAGACCGCATCATTGCACTCCAGCCTGGACAACAAGAGTGGAACTCCATCTCGAAAAAAAAAAAAAAAAGAGAAAAGTAGGTGAAAAGAAGTAATTAAATGGTAAGGAAAGAATAGGTCAGGACAGGAATCCAGGATGACTTTACTATATTTGAACCATAGAACATTAACCAAAATCTTATTTTTCTTCCCCTCAGTAGTTTGAAGTTGAGCAATATCTGTGTCTTTTGCATCACATTCTGAAATTGCAAATTATTTCTTGTCCTTTCAGATAAATGATTATGCAAAAGAAGCCCAGAACTGGCACAATTTAGAAGATTTGAGGTTGCTCTCATGTGTTTGTAGGGTATGCTATCATCATCCCATAGCCTAAGGCTGTAGTACTGGACTCTCTGGAAGCAGCTCTGAATGTGATAGGATGGAGATAATTGAAGATACAAGCAGCCATTATGTGTCTGAATATTGGTTTACTAGAAGAGCTAGATGTGTAGGAGCACATCCTTACTTGACAAATGTCTGACAGAATGACCTGGCACCATTACTGTTTTAAATGTGTAATATGCTATCTCAACTGGGACATTTTATGAAAGCTATAGGTTGTGACCTACTGTTCATTACACTTAGTTTCTGAGGTGCCAAAGATTGATGTGTGAGCCAAAGTTCATTATTGTTCTTCACTGGATCTTTGCATTTATTAGTCTGATGCTAATGGGATTCACTCTTGAGTTGGATTGATGGTCAAGGTTAGAGCCACAGATGAGCTCCTGATCTTGACCAGAAATGATTTGCCCATTGCCAATTAGAAGAAGAAAAGGGCAAGGTGGAGGTTGAACTTGGAGTTAATAGGAATAATAGATGCTGAGGGTGCAAGATGAAACTCAGTAAGATAATACACTCTATTCTTAGACTGGCAAATTTACATAGTAGAGAGAACTTTTATCATTGTCATCCAAAGAAAATATAATCCTAAGAGAAAAAGTCCAGCTAGTTTTTTTTTTCTTTTTTGTTACCTGCTCATAGGATATAAACTTATTTCTATCACACATAGGTATCATTTTCTACACTTAAAACACTTCTTCTATTTCACACAAATGACAAAAAATGTCCTTCAATTATTTTGACACATGATCTCTCAAGATACATATCCTTTTATATCAACTATAAGTACAAATTTAAAATTTTGATAAAAGAGAAATAACAGGAATAAAACAAAGCAGTATTTTTTAAAACTATAGCTGTTCCCCTAAGATATTCTCACACTAAAGAATTTTTCCCACTTCTTCTCCCCCACTGAGAAGTACAGTCTTCAAAAATTAGTCCAGGTATTAGTGTTTACCAAGGAGGAATATTTGGAACAAGAATAATCTGATGCTACTTTTCATTTGTCAAGTACATTTTCTAAATTATATTCTAATAAGACAGAATATGCACATTTGCATGTCATGATTCTTACAAATATTTACTGAGTACTGTCTCCCTGTAAAGAGCTACAGTGGGATGGATTTAAGATATATGATACATAATTTTTCATCTTCAAATTGTTCACATTTTGTAGAGATAGTAACTTGTGCATAAATGACTAGAATGTTAAGTTGCTAAGTGACAAGTGACAAAAACGTTTAACCTGTAAAATCTTCCCCTTGGGAAATTGAGGAATAAAAACTTCCAACTAAAGGAACAAAGATTGTCATGAACAAAGTTGTATAAAAAATAAATTAAATGTAGGATAATAAAGGTAGTGTATTAAAGTGAGAAGGGTTAGGATTTCTTAGGTGACAGACTGGCTTGATTTTGTGACTTGTGTGACGGTAGCAAGTTATGTAACACCTCTGAGTTTCCATATCTTCATCTGTGAAGTAGACATAGCTGAACCAACCACATGGAATTGTTGCAAGGGTGAAATGCAATGGTGTGTGCAAGTTGCTAGGCAGTGTTGGACTGGATCTACTATTACACTATACAAATGACACTTAGAATTTTTACAGTTATGCTTAATATTGTCATAATTCCAGGAAATGAGAAAAATCTCAGCAGAGGTACAAAACGGGCAAGCTCTGGGCAAAATGATCTTAGTGGGTTTATTTCAAAGGATGCTTGAAAGTGATCTGTGGAAAACAAAATTGACAAAAAGTGCATGTTGAAATGGAAATTAACAGGTCTTTGAATGTTAAGACAAAGATAGCGGGCATGCTCTTTCATCTATCTATCCCTGGCCCTTAGCACACCTGGTGCTTTTCAGTGCTCCAGCTTTACGTGTTTAATCGTTTTTTTTCATTCGAAATAAATTTTCTCATAGATATAGAAAACCAGCAGGCAATAAAATATATATTCTGAGCTGTGATTTAGTGGTATTATTACTTAGCAACAGTGTGTAGGATGAATTACAGAAAGCAAAAGTAGGGCATAATTATAATCACTAAGACTAATTATCAATATAAACTTTTGCCAGAATAATTGTAAAGATATGGAGAGGTGATGCACATGAAAAACACATTAAAAAATCCTAAGATTTTGCCAAAATAAGCTGTGTAATAAAACAAAGAGAGAAGAAATTGAAGAATATGATGAAGTTTAAATTGAAGTTCAAGGTGTTTTGCATGAAGAAAGATGAGAAATTTAAATTTGAGATATGATGAGTTTATGGTAGGAAATTGAGATACCATATTTTGCCAGTTGGACTAGACCTCACAAAAATACTCAAAATAAGTATGCAGAACGCATTAGTTTAGATATATTTGAAGAGACCATGGGAAAAAAGGAAAAAGGGAGGAGTTTAAAGAGTCAAACAAAAAGATGATGGAAAGGCAGTGGGAGACATAAAAGGGAACCAGAAATCTTAAGAGGAGAAAGTGTTCTGAAGAAACACACAAAGTCAATTACTTAAAAAGTTGAGAATCACTGGCAGTGCTGGATGATCGTGACTTTTTTCTCTATTTCAGTAAGGGGGTGATGGACATTAGAATGCAAGAGATGGATGAGGTATGGAAGTAGAAGGAATAAATGTCAACTATTATTTTAAAAAATTTGCACAGAAGAAGCAAAGTAGGATAAGAGCTTAAAAATAAAGGTTCTGTTTATTTTCATTTTTTAGTCATAGGGAAAATGTGGGCATGTTAAAAGAAAAGCTGAATGTAAAAAGGGAATGAGAGGACAAATTGAAATAGACATGGGTTCAAATCCCAGATCCCACTGGACATCTCTGAGGCTTACTAGACATCATCTGTAAATATAAGATAAACACCTAATATAAAATGTGTTCAGCTATAAGAAGTTTGAGTTAGTGTATATGATTTTTAGAAAATCAATTTATCATATACAATAAAACATATATTAAATTAGACAGTATGATGCATATTGACAATTGTATATCCCCTGCACATTTCCATCATATATGAAAACTTCTCACATGCCCTCACCATCTCAATCCCTGATCACAGGCAACCACTGATGGAGGTTCTGTCATTATGTACAGGATATATCTTTTCTAAATTTTGTATAAGTGACATCATACATGTGCATTATTTTGTTTCTGTCTTCTTTATCTCAGCATCTTGTTTTTTGAAATTTGTTCTTATTGAGTACATCAGTGGTCAGCTCCTTATTATTGCTTAGTGTATCTCATTTTAGGAATAATGTTCATTGAATTTATCCATTTTATCCATTATAATTTTGAGGGAAATTTGGGGTTTTTCCAGTTTGGGGCTAATATTAAAGCTGCTATGAACATTCATGTACAACTCTATGTATAGATATGTCTAACTGTCAGCTTCTATATAAACATTTTAAAAATCACTATCTCTAAGAAAACTAGGAAATCAAACATCTGGAATTCGGCATTGGCTACCAATTGTAGATGAAACATACTTTTTCAATGATTTAGACACAACTGTCACAGCTTACAAAATGCATCTTCACCAATTAGTTACCTAGTTAGGCTCTGCAGACTTAATTGTTTATCTCTGACCATAGTCCTAACCCAACTTGGCTCCATAGTTGCTGGGATAAGATAGATTGATTTTAGCTATTGGTATCAGTATTCTACTTCCCCACATGCCTATCGAAAAATGCTCTTAGAGTTTTAGAACTGGAATGGCAAAATTTATTTCCTGAGTGATTAAATGGCTCCACTCCTACTATTCTAGGTCACCTTGTTCCTTGTTGAGAGATAGCCACATCCTGAATGTGGCTCTTTTCTCTCAGCTTTGCACACACTGTCAATAGGCAAATCTCAGTTGCAAGAAACTCTTTAGGTAGAATGGAAGTATTTTTCTTTCTGCTACATGAAACCTGAAGGAAGTATTCTCAGATTATCCAGACCTAAGGAAGGATACATTCATCTATAGCTCCCTCTCAATTTACAGAAATGTTTGGTTGGTAGAGAGTCTTGCCTAAGTATTTAATCTGGCCCAAGGTAAAGAAATACTGCAACCTCAGATCTACTGGCCAAGGGGAGCTGGGTTGTTTTGAAAGGCACTGTAATGTGCCCCCTTTTTCTTACACAGCAGTGGGCATGATTAGGAGGCAAAAAGCTATGGAAAGGAAAACTTAAGTTCTTCCTTATAAGAATTTAAAACGTGTATCTCCATGGAGGGCCTGCAAAGTCTTTATAGGATATTTTGCCTTTGGGAACTTCTTTTTTTATACTACTATTTCAATCTCCTCACCTCCCTCTCTGTCTCTATTTCTAATTAGATAGATCACAGATACAGGTATAGATAAACATAGATATATAGATGGAAGGCCTTGATTGGAAGTGCTACAACCTCCTTCCACTGTTGAGTGGAAGCACCTGCTTGAGGGATGTACCAGTTTAGTTAGGAGGAGGAAATGAGGAGGAGAGTCTGATGGAGGAAAAAAATAAAATGTTCTGAAGTGATTGAGAGCACAGAGAGTTTCGAATAGACCTGCAAACAGGGGGCCCTTGCTAGGAACTAGGGCAAATCCATGAAGTGACTTTGCTGTTGTGTTTACATTATTTGTCTTTTTCCATTAGATACTTGCCACAGTTATATTACGCATCCACGATTTTAAGATGTTGCTGTTTTGGGATGCATTGTTTTATTTCCCCCGAGAACACAGCAGCCTTGTGCAAGAGGCATTGTGCATGACTAGGAGAGGAAGAAATAACAAACTCCTTAAGAACAACAGGAGGGGGAAACGGGGAGTAGTTGTTTAGACAACTAATAGTCAATTTCCAGGCCTTGCCAGGTCAGGAAAGGAAAATCCCTAGGTGGGGTTCATACCTGTAGTCAAATACAAGTAAAACCAAAAGGTAGGGCCTAATCCAGGCACATTTATTTTTCCCCAAATACTTTCAAAAAGAGAGACCACTGAAGGAGTGAGGGAGTCTCAGGGTTTTAGGCTACATATGCTTTTCATCCACCTTGTCTATGCAACTCGGGTCCAGGATTCCTTCCAGCCATCACTAACTGAACCAAATTCCAAGGAGCCACTGCCTCACATTGCCATGCTCCGTGTTTTGCACAGAGGCTTCAGTTTTGATCAAACATGTTTTGTTTTCGATTATCACACATTCCACTCCAAAACTAAATATTATTTCCCGAAAATAATTTGTCATTTTAGAAACTGATACAACTCTGAAATGATTTTATCTGTTTGAATACTTTGATGATCATCTCAGACACATAAGCAGAAATTTAACATAAAGAGTTAAAGATTGATAATAAATAAAATTGTTTTTCAGATTCATTGAAACATTCTCAATTTTTCTTCTATAAGAAATGAGTAAAATTGATTTTGTTATTTAATATTTCTAGAGGTGCTTATTTTAACTAGTATCTTATAACTAGAAGGTATCTGGGTCTTCAAAAGAATTTCATAGCATACCTTTGATCATTTAACTTGGCAAGTTTGTCTTTCAGAATATGTTGTAGTCAGATAGTCGAGAATGATCATTAGTGAATTCTCATATCCATCCATCTATTTCAAGTTGTACTTTGCCCTAAATCCAGTTCAGAAATCTGTGGGAAAATTTAGCACTTCTGAAATTTTAGAAACTAGTTAAAAGGGATTGAATTCAGCCTTTCTGAGGCACTGAAGATAAAACTTAGACTCATATTTGTAATTCAACCCAAATGACAAATTTTTCAGTTACAAATTTTAATCTAGTTTTTAACTACCTCATGAAATTTTTACCAGTAAGTTCTAAATAAAATAATTCAAAAATCTGATTGTCAGAACCACTGCAATTTCTCTATTATGAATGTATTTACAAGTCATCCTGCATGTAAAAGAAGCAATTTCATGTGGATAAGTAAAATGGTTAAATTTGTTTATATTCTATACATCTATACATAATTACGTGTACATATACATAATTAAACTTATACCCTTGTTGATGGTGAACAGTTAAAGTATGCTAGTCTTCACTTAATCATGTTATTTTAATTCAGCATAAAAGATAGTTACAGTAGTTATCTAACTAGTTAATTTGATTTTTTTCGGTTATTCTTATCCACAAGTAAGGCTTTTAGATAGATTTGAAATGGGATAATGGTGGAAGATGAGGAACTACCACTGATCAAGTAGCCATATTAGCAATGATGCAGTTTGCACAGGGAAAACAAGAAGGAACAAATAAGCAAATGGGAGAAGAATTACAGAGAACAGTACCCAAGATGCTTCAGTTCAGATAATATTTTGTTTCATTATGAGAGTCTGCACTTAATTTTCCACCAGTTTACCAAGCTAGCGTGACCATCATGACCTTGTACCATCTTCAGATTCCATGAATGGTAGATGAAGAGTTCTACCCATCACTTCTAATAGGCAAAGATAGCACATGTCTACATGCACTGATTTGGAAGAAGGACAAGGCTAGAGATGGTGAGCGTTCCGCTTGAGCTATGGGCTATTAGCTTGTGGTAAACATGACTTAATAGTCAGTGATATGGACTTCACTGGCAGGTCTCATTCAAATAATCCCACAGTTCTTCTACTTCTTAATATAATATTTTCTAGGATAGCGGGTGGGGTGTAGTTGGGTGATCCATCAGGTGAGTTGAGAAGAGGAATGTGATAGGAACTTTTGTCACTGTTGGAAAGTGCGTGGGTGGTGACATTGAATAGATTCACTCAGGGAGACAAGTTAGCATATCTTTCATCTTTTTATAAGCAGCTGAGTAGAAAGAAATTGAGCAGCAGGAAAGGAGGGACAGGATACAAGAAAGTGTCTTTTCTTCCTCTCCATTCTTACAATGTCCTGATTCTTCAGCCCAGAGCTTTAAATATTTTTGTAACTACTTTCTTGGGGAACTGTCATGTTAACAGTAATTTTGTATATATTGAGCTCCTAAAGCTATGGATGCTTTATAAAGCTACAATGTAAATTTATTTCTCTCCATAATCCCTGTCACTTTCCCTGTCTCCACATAAAAAGCAAGAGACTTAACATTTCATTATTAATTACAGCAACAGCAAGTTGGCTGTCAGAGTCAAACCTCCACACACTCCCCCCACCAAGCTGCTGAGCTTCCAGCCATTTACTCATTAAGCTGATGATGATGGAGTTTTTAAAACCTGCTCTTTGTAATGGACAGTAGACCTTAAAAATCTGTCATAAATTGCTCAATTGAGGAAATCAAATGGCAAAGAGAGTGAACCAGTGTAAGAGCAAACAAATTGCACCATAAAAGAAAGTAGTGTCTTTAACTGAGCTTTTATTTTTACAAAGAATGTGAGAGCAACTTGGAGACTATAAGTGGATGCTGTGAGACTGTTTAACGAAGAGCAGTTATTCACATTAAAGAGGCTGAACACATAAGCAAAAAAAAAAAAAAAAGAAAGAAAATCAGACCAAACAAAAACAAAGGAACAAAACCACCTTAGAGTGTTTTTGTTTTTCAAATGATATGGTACTGCTGAGTAAAAATGACTAGGTCCATTTTTAAGTGTATTTTTTTCCTTAACATTTTAAAACCAGACTACATAAGATAAAAGCATATTTCAAGGTGAATACTGATCAAGTTAAGGATCTAAGCGTATAACAGATTTTTCTGTCATATTTCATAAGAGATTTTTCAAAATGCACATTAATTCTGATATTTTTATTCATTTATTCAGGAAATATTAATGAGGACTGTTGAAGTCAAAATAGAAATGTAAAGAGGAATCTCTAAATTTAACATTTAATTTAGAAATAAATAATTCGCAAATCAGGGCATATATTCAGACCGAGTGGTCTTCAGCATGTCTGAAGAATGAAGAGAAGGCTGGAGGTTTTACTAAAAAAAGAAATATTAATTATTGCTCTTTGAGAAAGTTCATTAGCATTGGTAAGGTTCTGGGAAGCTGGAACGTCTGACTGGTGACTGATGGTGGGTAAAGTAAGTCTTAGATTTGTAGCAGGTTTGTTTGGCAACTATTAGATAAAACAGTTGTGAGGTTACAGCAGGCACTTTCAGCAGCCAGACTTGCAGTGAATTACATTTTGGGAGAGCAATGTTTTGTGTCCTGAGTGCTTTTTGCCCCTGCCCTCTTGACTCTGTTTTCACTGGGTATGACGAGAATGCCCCAATTCAAATAATCAGCTTTCACAGTACCTATTATGGTCCAGTTCTTTTCTCAAACACTTTGGAATTGAAGAATAAACTAAACAGAAGAAAATCTGACCCTGAAGAAGAAAGTAGCAAATAAGTCATAAGTATAATGGATAGGTAAGTTATATTGCAGATTTGAAAGAAATATGTGATGAAAAATAAGAGAAGTAGAGCAGGAAAAAAGAAATTAAGATGGTAGGTGTGGTGGAAGGAGAGGAGGTAAATGCAGGCTCAACCAGAAGGTAAGAAGTCAACAAACATTTTGGAAGGTAGGAGTTATCAATATGGACAACATGGACATCTAGGGGAAGAGTTCCATGTGGAGTGAGGTTACCCTAAATAATTGAACTTGCTGGAAAAAAACACAACTCTCAATTTTACTTCATAGAAGCTCTTATAAATGAGAGCAGATGAGCTGTTACTTGTGTTGTGTCCCCAAATGAAACAGCTCATTCTAACATGGGGTAGCGTGCATCAAAGACAAATCATGCCATCTCACAATATGTATACCCACCAAGAACCTTTTGGAGACCTATATTTGGCACTAAAAATACCATTATGAAGAAGAACTTGTATGCCTAATTGCACCCATGCTTTGGTCAATCCTCAATTATATATACATTATAATCAACCACATACAAAAGTCTAATATGTGCATTTACCCTGTGATTCTGTTTTATTCATATTAATAGAAGCATGTTTCTACCACTGTGGTGTCATATTATTCAATTATTTTGAGTTTTAAATCCCAGGGACCGACTTTACCTGAGTATTGTAGCTCTAAAGTTGGAAAGAAAAAATAATGCTGATACCGTAATCAGATAGACATAAACAAAAGTGGGAAGAAATCTGCTATTGTGATGAAGCCTATATCATTTAAGACCTGAAACTTGACCAAGCAGAATAAATGAATGAATAAATAATTAAATAAATTAATAAAATGATTCTGGAATTGTAAGCAAGGGAAGATGAAATGATCAGTAGCAAATAACCAAACATGAGCTGACATCATGAAGAAAATAGCAAATTCATGAATTATTCTAAAATCGAAGCATTTGTTAGTCTTAAGTGTGAATATCTCTCTATGAAATTCTTTAATCTGGCCTTACAGTATGATTTACAAAGCACAGTTTCTATTTCTAAGAGCCTCTTACAACTCAAAACTTGCCTTACAAATTTTCTTAGAAGTAATCTTGACATCAAACACATATTGTTTGAACTTTGTTTTTCATATTTTGTACATTAATTGCCATTCACGTTTTAGTAGTAAATTCTACATGGTCCCAGGTGTGTGACTGTGCATGCCAGTTATATCAGAACAGGCCTTCCCAGCTTTGTCTTATAGTTATAATATGCAAACTATTGGCATAATTCTACATCTCCCTAAAGATTTTTTGAGTCTTTTGGGATTGATAGTCTCTCTCCCTCTCTCTGGATGCTGCTTTAGGACATTTACTAAGTATACTACTGTGTCTTTCTCAGTGATTAATGATGACTAGATTAATTGGCTTTCTCTTTCATTGTAAGTTCCCCTTTAACATTTCTGATTTTAATTGTGAGAAATAACCCTGCACATGCATGTATTAGAAGTCAGAGAAGATCCTCTCGATCCATCCCATCAATTTCCCAGGAGCAATTGGCATAATTTAAATCTTCATCTAACTATTCTCCTTCAATTGTAATTGGTGCCACCTATTTTTAAAGTAGCCTATTCTTGTAACATTAACATTATTTTGATAATTTATTGCGACCCCATTGCCAAAAACAGGCACAAGGGCGCCATAAATAAAGCAGTCTGATAATTGCTTAAACAAAACTGGGCCCCATGGACCAGCAATAAACTGTCATTAAGGTTAGGCTGGAGAAGCACCTGCAATTTCTCTGGATAACCTCTTTTATTTCTCTGTGTACACTACTGCTCATTTCAGAAAATGACAGTTTTGAAAGATATCAGCAATTTGTTGAAACAAAGAATGAGAAAAACATGGTCTTGGAGGTATAATTTACTTTTACATTTTGAATTAAAAAATAGAAAAAGATATGCTGAAAAAAATTATCATATGAAAACCATAAGATTTCTACTGTAGAGCTAGAGCTATTTCACAGTTTAAAAGCTTGCTCCCTTTGTGGTAACTTTTATTTGTTATTTAAATTCAAGTTAATCTTCCCTGACTTGTAGTACTTAAAAAATAGTACTCATGGTCTTTTATTGTTTTCAAGCACAATTTAGATAATGTATTTTAGTGTTGCAGCTTGGCTCAGCAATTTTGAAGATTTAGGTTCTGAAAGTTGTTCATCAATAAAATGGCCTATGTACCTCATTTGCAATGTGAAAGTGTTAGAAATATGAAAGAATTATATTTTTTATAATATAAAATTTAGAAAGATTAAAACTATATTTAAAACCAATTCAGAACACACAAGTAGGTATCACTTAAATGTCTTTTTCAATGTCAGTGACATTTTTAGTTGCTTTTCTTTCTTAAAATTTGCTCCTAAAGTGGCCATAATAATTGATATTTTATAAAGTTGGGGAAAAAAACAAAATGAATGTCTTCCTTTTATATTTATCAAAAGGTTATTTAAATGAATTCTTCTTGAATTTGATGGAAGCATTTTTTAAATTATGTTAATTTTAACACATCAGGTGCATGTTTGAATACAAATAAGATCAAATAGGTCTTGAGTCATATCTGCAGGATCTTAATTTTAACATCATAGAGACAAAGATTTTAGTTAGTCTTTTGTTTTGCTGTCAAATTTCCCTCTAATTTTGGACATGACACATTTTATCTTATTGAGTTTCAATTATATATGTATAATTATATATATAATTGAATATATATGTGTACATATATACGTAATATATATATATATATATATATATATATATACATGTTGGACTCATCGATGTACATGAAGATACTAGCTTTGAATGAAACAATGTCAATTGCAAACTGTTGTTCATGCTTAATATAAATTCAATTATGAACAGAAATCCTTTAAGACAAAACAGGGAACCAGGTACTCCTATAACTTTTCTCCCAATAATTTGATGTTTTGGAAAAATTTAGTACCATATAATTTTTCCCCAAATATTACCTTTATTAAAAATAATAGTAATAATTCTGGAGAGTTATTTACACTGTGATTTATTAAATCAATCCCTATGATTTAATGTAGTGATGAAAGTGGTCTTTATATTTAAAATGTGCATGTTATATTGCCAGTTTTTACTGAGCACATACATTGTCGGCTAATACATACTCCTTTGTAGGTGAGTGTTTAGCGAAGAAAGCCATTGCTCCATTGGCAAATTAGCATCATTAGTTGAAGGAGCCCAAGGGTTTAAATTGCAGGAGGTTTGCAGGAAGCATGTGCGCTGGCAGAGCTGTGTGGTCAGGCATCTGCAATAACCGTCTACATTATGCTTCCATTTAGGTGGTGTCATCACTCTGTCACTTTCATCTATTCCATAATTTGCACAAAAAGAAAGCACACCACAACAACTCTTTAAATTCCAAAAATGTATGGTAAACTGTCAGTTTCTCTTGCATAAAGTTGTTTATCTCAGGATTTTACTTGGCGTGCAATTTCTCAATAGACGTATCCTTCCTTCTGAAATGCAAAGGAAATCCCATTGATCAATAGGGGTTGCAGTACTTATCAACATCACAACGGAGACAGCTTAATTCCTCAGATTAGCATTTGGCTCAGATCAGCAAATGTTTTCTGAGAAATTACTATTTATACATTTAAAAGTATCCAACTTCCCTATCTTCCTCCTATCAGCTCAAAATATAAGCCAGGGCCATGTGGCTGCATCTTAATCACGTTCGAGCTGGAGAGCCATCAGTTGAAAGCCTGTCTCAGTTCATAGATATGAGAGATTGTAATATTTTAACATTTCCTCCTGCCAAGTTGCTAAGCAATAAAACTATCTTGGCACTTTCCTGCCAGTTCATCATGAAGAACTACTTTAGTTTAGCTTAGTCTCTTGATGAAACAAATGGAAGGCAGCTGCACCAAACGGCCTTTCAGAAACGTGTTGCCAAACAAATCCCCGGAACTTTCACCCCTTTGCATAGCTAATTTAGATGGCTTGAAGCAGAGAAATCCCATGTTAGTATCAGCATAGAAAATCAAGTCTTAAATATGAGTGATTAAAAATTATACAAACAATAGCTCATCATAATTTTTGCCGAGTGCTATTGTCACATATTACCTTTCTCCAAGGTATACCTAAGTGTGATGATTTCTCAGCTAAAAAAAGGCACATTTTTCATACCATAAAGTCAAGTCAGACATACTAGACAAGCTATTGGCTAAATTTGAAATGTATTTCTACTTAATTTTTACTTAGCTTTTGAGAGTTTTGATTACATAAGTAATGCCAAAAGAATGCCACACAATAATTTCAAACAACAGAGAAATGTATACATTTAAAAGTGTATAAAGTAAAAAGAGAAGTAAGTTTCCTTTCGCATTCATCCAATCCTGTATATTTGTATGTGTTTTTTCACAACTGCCTCTGTGCATGTGTGTGTGTGTGTGTATTTGTGGCTGCATATGTATAAACTAAGAATTTTAGTCTATAAACTTACAGCAAATATTGACACATTTCTTTATTGCTGTTATTGTTTTTATTAAAATTGAATCATATCCTGAGCCCTCAACTTGCCATTACATGACTAAGTTCTTCCCATCTCAGGAATCAGAAAATCCCAAGAATCTTTATCACAACAGAATGTTCTGGGAGAGTCCCCTTGGATTTAGGACACACAGGTCACCAAGGAAATGGCCCTGTGCAAACTCACACCATCATGTGAAGTGGACATCTGCATTCTAGTGCTACACAGACTACACCGTCTGCTTCAGAGAGTTTGCAGGTGATCTTCTCTCAGTCTGTCCTCCTCACATTTCAGGTCCTTCACAGAGCCAACTCCTGCTCACTGTTATCCTCAGCCTGAAATCACAAAGCTTCCTTATGTAGGCCTTCTTTATCAACTCAGATTAAATTAAAACCTTTCCTCCTAGTGGACAACAAGGCACTTTTTAATGTATCCATTATCATACTTCTCAAATTTATTTTTGCCAACTCTCTGCTTCCTTATTAAACTATGGTATCCATAAGGGTAGCTTACAGTGCTCAACATTTATTCATTAATTGGACAGATACTCACTGAGCTTCTACTATGGTGAATTGATGTGCTGGATGCTGAGAATAAAACTTCTATTTGAATGGCATGATTCTCTCTCACTGTCCCTACCTTTGAGACAGATGTGAATAAAAAAGCTACACATTATTACTTAATTAGAATGATAAATGTTATACTATCTATGTGAGTAGTTGGAGCAAGTTAGTCTCGTGAGAGAGGTGAGTGTTTCAGGAAATTCTCTGGAAAAATTTGTATGTAAGTTGAGACCTGAGAAGTAAACACAACTTCATTAGGAGAGAAGAGCATCCTTAGTTCTTTAGTGAGACTGGAAGGTGTGTGGAGTAAAAGCCTTAGAGAGGAGGAGGTGGTGGACACACATTCTGAAAGACGAAGTATTCTAAAGCCAGGCTGGCCAGCAAGGATTTTATATTACCGAATCTTTTGGGGTTTTTTCCATGAGAATACTGTGAAGCCATAAGCAAGGCAGCAATATGAGTAGATCTGCAATTAGAACATGATGGTGGACTTGGCCAAGATGGTGAAAACAAACAGAATAGAATTGAAAAATATTTTGGAGTTAAAAATAGGAGAATTTAGCGATTCACTGATTGTGGGTCTGAGGCAAAGAAGATAAAAGTTAAAAAATATAAGAGGAAAAGCAATAGTTAACACTCATAATGCATTGCTAGGTACTAATCATTAAGTTTCTCACATGTATTAGTAGATTTAATTTGCACAATAACCATAAGAAGTAGGTGCTATTATACTCAAACATCATTGATGAGGAAAGTAAATCAAAGGGTTAATAAATAACTTGCCCAGAGTTGTACGGCCATAGGGTGGTTTGGTTCCAGAATCTATTACTTACACATTACTCCTGGGCTTTTGGAATGAGAAACTGAGGATGGTGTTGCTATAAACTGGAACAGGGAACATTGGAGAAGCAGTGAATCTGGGTTAAGGCACAAGATGATTTTTGAACAGGTTGAATTTAAGGTGCCTCTGAGATAGGCAACTAGAGATGACAGGTCTGGCATTCTAAAGTTGAATATAAACAGAAGATATCATTTTGGGACTTATCAAAATAGAAATGATAATGAAAGCCATGAGATGCATGAAAGCATTCAGGATTACAGTATAGAGTAAAAAAGAAAGCCTATATGAAGTAGAGGAAGGGGTACTGGCCTCATTGTCTAGGGAGGAACTGCTAGGGTAGTAGAACAATGGGATTATGCTGTCACAAAAACCAAAGAAAAAACATAATTTCTTAAATCATGGTCTGTCACTGAATCTGGTTATAAAACCTTATCTTGCACTAGAAGGATCTGTAGCTTTTCCAGCTGAGAATGGGGTTCAGGATACCGAATCAACACAAGAAAAGAGAGAAACTGGGGATGAAGAAAACTCAGCTAAATTTCCTGTAGGAAGGAGAGATTTTGACAGTGAGTAGTTTTTCAAAATTCAATTCTTACATCCTACCATTAAACAGAACTCTGAGTTTAAGCAAATTTGGATGCAATCATAACAAAATCAAATAAGACCATGGCTCAATTACACCTGCCAAAAATGTGGGATTAAGAAGTGTTTAATTAGTTCTTATCATTTTGGTTTACTCAGAATTAGTTATACTAGATCCATTCTTCTTTTTTCTTAATAAATGTTGTGTGATAATTATAGTCCTTTAAACAATTTAAACTTTCTTCTTCCTTCAGCACTCAGCTGTATGCTGGGAAGAGTCTACCAATCTTGCTGGCAAGTCTGATTCTTTTTTTGATATGGACCTGTTGGTCTATGTCATCTTTTCAGAAGAAAAGCATTTAATTGCCAATGGGAGGAGAAGCCCATAATGTTACTGTAACTTGGGTATTATGTTAAATGTCTGTTTTAAAAGAAAGTAGCGTTAAGATAGATCAGTAACCAAAATCATAGGCTTTTTCTGTGCATTTAACTTTGTGAAAATTCTGTATAATTATGACTTACTAGTATTTTTGAACAATGCTTAACATACTAACCTTACATACACTCTAGACCAAAATAAGGCATCATAATTTACACCTTAATCTCAAAAATTAAGCATGTCTTTGGTGAATGGTTTTATATATACATAAACCTAAAGCATATAAGACAAAAATTTATGTTTGGAGCCTGTGTTCTGTAAAGAGAAGGTTGATTTGTCTTTTAGCTATCGTATTTGGAGTGGAACTATAATACAAATGTATAATATTCCTTTTTTTTTTTTTTTTTTTGAGATGGAGTCTCACTCTGTTGCCCAGGCTGGAGTGCAATGGCACGATCTCGGCTCACTGAAACCTCTGCCTCCCGGGTTCAAGCAATTTCTTGCCTCAGCCTCATGAATAGCTGGGATTACAGGTGCCCACCACCATGCCTGGCTAGTTTTTGTATTTTTAGTAGAGGCAAGGTTTCACCATCTTGGTCAAGTTGGTCTGGAACTCCTGACCTCGTGATCCACCTGCCTCGGCTTCCCAAAGTGCTGGGATTACAGGCGTGCACCACTGAGTCCAGCCTATATTCTTGTTTATCAGTTCAAAAATGTTCTGCTCTGTTTTTGACTCTTTAAAAATAACTTAGATTCAAATTTATAGTAGAAGAAAAAAAATCTTTCAGATAAGAGGTGTTCTCCAGAATGGAGGAACTACTTGGCATGTAAGAAATAGCGTCAGTGTCCTAATGCATATTGTGACTGTTTGCATATACTTCTGTTTGTAAAAATATCAGTTTTACTTTTCAGAGGATTTGTAAGAAACATTTAAATTTTCATTGAAATAAATGACAAGTCATACTGCCACTTAAAAAAAAAAAGACCTTTGTCAAGGAGAGTGCAGTCAACCAGTAAATTGCAGATTCTCAGAATGTTTATTGACGTACTGATTATTCATTCTGTTATACTCTAACATCTGTATATTTTTACCAGTATTCTCAGACCACTTCTACCAAAACATAAATCTGTGATTGTGATCTCTGAAAGTCAGTCCTTTTATCTACTCAAGTAAGTGCAAATTTTAGAAAATAAATCATTTTCCCTAGAAATATAAGTTGTTCTTTTCTTAATTTATCCACTAACTGTTTAGAAATATGATTAGCTTCTAAGATTTGAAAAACAGTAAATTTTAAATATCATATCTATTGGTTACAGTTTAAAATACTTCCAGAAAATAAGCAGAATTGAGTTAATGTTAACTTTATCCAACTAATACTTGAAAAGGATCATTGATTTATATTACTGCCAGCTTAAACCATTTTAATTAATGTACTACTAATCATAACAGTGTTAGTTACAATTTTGTCTTCAAGTGCAATAAAGACACATAGATTTGAACTCTTTTGATTATTTTTGGCCTCCTGGTCAATGCCTCACAGTCAAAATTTTAATTAAGATTTTGCACTAAAAGTAAAAAGAAAATTGGGATAAAAATGTGCAGTGTGTTTTATTCGTTATGTGGAGGCATCTTTCCTATATCCAAGTTTAACTAATACTGGTTCTCTACCTGCTTAGATTAACTGGTAAGAATCTTATAAGCATTTCTTACCATCTTGTTATAAACCAAAAATGGCAGTCTTTCCACATTTTGACGTAATAATTTTGAGCTTGTTACAAATTAAAATAAAAAATTAAAAACAAATATTACCTTATAAAAATTCAAACCGTATGTATTGAATATTAATTTAAATTACTGTTATTAATATTACATAAAATACGCATGTTGTAAAATTTTAAATTACTATCTGGTTAAATAGACTATATATATTCTGTAGAGTCAAATCAGATTTCGGCAATGTTGTAGAATTTAACTGAATGCCCAGATGGAGGAACTTGATTATATTATAAAAAGGGGACTACAATCCTAGAGTTGGACTCAAGCACAAGTATTTCTCATTATTTTGCAGAAGAAGACACTAAGGTTTTCAGAAATTAAATTGCTTTTTGGAAAAGGTGGGAGATTCTGGGAACATAGAAACTTGAATCCAGTTTTCTTCAACTCCACGTCAAGACAGTTGCATTGTGTGAGAAAATAGCTACGGCCATTTGTGACAAAATCACATATATGCAATTATGTGAAACTAACTGTGTATATATATCTGTGTATGTGTGCATGTACAATATATAAACTATCAATATTTATCAAAGTCCGTACAGCTGCTAGCAATGAGGGGGATCTAGGATTCTATCACATGATACCTTTTTATGAGGCCTTTGTTCTTTCCAGTACATTTGTCAGCTCGTTCATGAAAGAGATTCTTAATTATTTACTGAAATATCACAAAAGTGATGGTGAGCTAGGTTGCCACATTGATCCTGATAGGTCCTTGACAAATTCATATTGACTCTCCACAAATAAAACTCTAAGGCAGTTTTTCCCATTGTGATGCTTTTGTCTACAATCTTAATTGTTAACTCTTCCAAAGAATAAACACACAATATATCAATTTTTTAACCCATTTAGGTAGAAATATGGGTATATAGAAAGGAAGAAAGCAAGGCTAACGGTGAGCAGTGGCTAAATGAACAAGAGAACATTCAGTTAAGTATTTCATCTCCAAAATGGTATAAACTGTGGCAGAAAGTTCTTTGTTGAATCAATAGTTTCGAGACAGACATACAGTAGGGACATCGAAGGTACAAAATAGAGCACTGATGAAGGAGTGAATTATCATCTTCACAGATGAGTAGAGAAAGAGAAGGTCTAAGTATTGAGATGAGAATATAGAAATTTCTGAAGCACAACACAGCTCAGAAATTCAATCTGAATATATTCCAATTCAGTGCCTTGCAATAGATCCATAATGATCGCCTATCTTTCCATCATACAAAGCAATGCATATCATTTAAACATTTTTCTAGCATGAAAATGTGCCTGGGTTATGCAATACACACTTTACCAAAATATGATTCTGGTGGCTGTAAGCACTTAATTGTAATGACCTGTAAAATGAGCAACATTTTTAACTCCGAAATTCTAATCAATATTAGTTAATGAGGTGTGTGAAAACTTATAATGCTTTTAAATACTCTTAGTAGCCATCATAATACAAATTCTCCCACTTACAGCATATTTAATTTTAATCCTTGCAATAATATAAATGAAATACATCTAAAATACTTGATGGTAAGCACTCAAGTAAAAGTCCCCATAACATGGCCTTAAAAAAGGTTAATCTTTTAACAACGGGGTCATGAAAACATTTTTGTTATAGATATTTTTATGTTCCTCCTTGTATCAATCAGGATTAAATTTTCAAATGTTCATAACATTTAACAACAGACTGAATAAATAACAAAGTTGTTAACACAAAATGAATAAATGTTTTGTATAAGTTAAAAATAGAAGATAGAAAAAATAACTTGGTAATGTGTTTAAAATATTTTATGGCCTCTACCCCATTACGTTATTCCATTTTCTCATAACTGTAGACCTTTAGCTACCAAACAGAGGGAAGGAGCATTGTACACTAGTTACCTAGAAAACAAATCATTTATAGGTCTTATTTTTTGAAAAGGAGATATCTTTTAATTCAACTAAAATGTAAAAGATTGGAAGTGTCCCCCTATCAAGGCTTAGTTTTACTATTGCTTAATATAGATGAAGAAAAAATAAATCATATATAAACTCGGGAAGCTTGGGTTTTCTCTTAAAGTAAGCCATGCTGTGATTGTTCCATCTAAACAGTTATATCAACTTTACTTTGTATCATATGAAAACAACAGCCTGCTGAATGACTATGTATTGTCTATTTCCACCTGCTAAACAAGACAAGACCACATGAAATAGGATCAGCTTAGCCATTACCTTCAGGAAGCTTCAGACATATTGTTTATTGCAAATGGACATATATTATAAATGTATATACAGACACATCTTTGTGATATTACTTCCTGAAGTATGTTCTTATGGAAATTTAACTTTGTTCATCCAGTCAGATTTCCAGAAATTTATCTACTGTGATAATTAATATATTATTCTCCAACTCTTTGTTATTCTCATTCTGTACTTACTTTGCTTTCATCAAAGACATTTTAGCAAAATTAATTTCCAGGACCATTTTCTTAGTGAACTAATGCCATTTGATCAACAATGGCCATTTTCGTTTTTATCTTGAGGATCACATTGGGCATTTGTCTCTGACTTTTCACTCAGTTTATAATGCATTCTTGTTCCCTTTGGAGGATGTTTGTTCTTTTTTTCTCTGCTTGCTCCCAACATTAAAATCCAAGGTAAACTCTTAATTAAGTGGAGTTGACAGAAGTCACATTTTCTCTATAAAGAACAATTGGAATCCACTGGATTTGCCCTATCAAGAAAAAAGAAAATCGTATCTCCAAGAGTAGGTATTGGTAATTAATTAATCCCTAATCTTTTTGAAAAGTATCTGTATTAGTCCATTTTCATGCTGCTGATTAAGTCATACCTGAGACTGGGTAGTTTATCTTAAAAAAAAAAAAAAAGAGGTTTAATGGACTCATAGTTCCACGTGGTTGGGGAGGCCTCACAATCATGGCAGAAGGCAAAAGGCACATCTTACATGGTGGCAGGCAAAGGCAATGAGAGTCAAGAGAAAGGGGAAATCTCTTATAAAATCATCAGATCTCCTGAGACTTATTCACTACCACAAGAACAGTATGGGGAAAACTGTCCCCCCATAATTCAATTATCTCCCACCAGTTCCCTCCCACAAGATGTGGAATTATGGGAGCTACAATTCGAGATAAGATTTGGGTGGGGACACAGCCAAGCTGTATCATTATCAGATATCATATTCATCTGGTAGTGGTCAGTACATCTGTGCACAACCTCAGAGTTGGCTGATTTTTGCTTTTCCTTCCTTACTAACTCACACCAGTGGTTTCCATCCTAAAGTACACAAACCATGTTATTTTTCTGCTCTTTGATTTCCTAAGCAGTATACCAGCTACTTTAGGACTGTGTTCCTGTACAGCGCCCCTTTTCTTCACGACCACCTACAAATCTATTAAGTACTTAAAGACTTTTTTCCTGTGATGGGGATTTTGATGCTTGTTTGTTCTTTCTATGCCAACTTCATACACCTCTGAGTCTCATCCATATGTCCCAACTGCTCCCTCTAAAACTAAAAGCTACTATTTATTAAGTATTTGCTGCATTTCCAAAATCACTCTAAGTACTTTGTCTACATTGTCTCATGTAATCTTCACAGTTTTCTGAGTTGTGCATTATATGTTGCTACTGTCCACATTCCTTCACTAAAGTTATGGATTTTAGTTTATTTTAATTAAATGGCCAATGAAGATTTTGAGAAGTAACTAGTATCACATAGCAGAGGTGGGAATGCATTTGAAGAGATCTATATTAATTTTCTAAGGCTGCCATAGCAAATTTGCACAAACTTGGCATCTTAAAATAACAGAAATTGATTTTTTTTACAGTTCAGAAGGCCAGAAATCTGTTTTCTCACAGTTTGGGCCAGAAGTCAGAAAGCAGCAGAGTTGGTTCCTTCTGGAGCCTCTTAGGAAAAACCCATCTTATTCCTCTTTCCTAGCTTCTGGTGGTTCTTGTCACTCCGTGGCATTCCTTGATTTCTTGATTAGTTGTATCAATCCAATCTCCAACTCTGTCATTGAATGGCCTTCTTTCTTGTATAACTCCCCTGCATCTTTGTATTCAAATATTCCTCTCCTTTCTCTTTTAAAGATACTAACCACTGGCTGGGCATGGTGGCTCATGCCTGTAATCCCAGCACTTTGGGAGGCCGAGGCATGCGGAACACGAGGTCAGGAGTTTAAGACCAAACTGGCCAACATGGTGAAACCCCGTCTCACTAAAAATACAAAAATTAGCTGACCGTGGTAGTGCACACCTGCAATCCCAGCTACTGGGGAGGCTGAGGCAGGAGAATGGCTTGAACCCAGGAGGCAGAGGTTGCAGTGAGCCAAGATCGTGTCACTGCACTCCAGCCTGGGTGACAAGCAAGACTCCGTCTCAAAAAATAAATAAACAAAAGATACTAATCATTGAATTTAGCTCCCACCTTAACTAAGTAGGACTTCATTTTAACTTGACTACATCTCAAAAGACCCTATTTCTAAAAAGGGTCATATTTATAAGTACCAAGGATTAGAATGTGAACATATATTCTTGAGGGACACAAGTCTACCCACTAAAATGTGTAATTCCAAATTGCATGCTCAATTTTACAGTATACAGCACTAAACTACATCCTACTGCTTTACTGGGTGACTGTCTTTTAAAGGCCTGCCATGGTCTTTACCGTAATGCTTCAATTTATTTTGCTTGAGTTGTCCTATATGTTTTTCTAGACCCAATCTCAAGCCATCCTTAGCAAGAATTTTAAGAAAATCTCCCAAATTGTATAAGTACTCAGTCAATGCAGAATAAGCAGTGCTTTCCCTGATTAGTTCTATTCTGTTTCTTCTGCTTCCTGAACCTCTAGAAAGATCTCACCTGAGTTTCAGTAGAGTCTCTATACATCCTACATGAATGATCTAATCTCCAACCTCAACAGACTTAAAGTCAGTAATAAGTAAACAGAAAAACTTTGACTCATGTTTAAAATATTTCACTTGCCTTGGCCTCCCAAAGTGTTGGGATTACAGGCGTGAGCCACCACGTCTGGGTGGATCACAAGGTCAGGAGTTCAAGACCAGCCTGGCCAAGATGGTGAAACCCTGTCTCCACTAAAAATACAAAAATTAGCCAGGCATGGTGGCAGGTGCCTGTAATCCCAGCTTCTCGGGAGGCTGAGGCAGAGAATTGCTTGAACCTGGAAGGCGGAGGTTGCAATGAGCCAAGATCATGTGACTGCACTCCAGCCTGGGTGACAGAGCAAGTTTCAAAAAATAATAATAAATAATAAAATAAAATATTTCGCTCATAAATTAATTGATTCAATAAATATTTCATTCAAGTACGTACACATTAGTACATGGTTTCAATGATCGTTGATTTAAAACCTTGGAAATAGCTTTAATTCTATATTACATTTACATCGACATCCACTCAGGTATGAATATTCTGTAGAAAAGTTTTGGTTTTTCCCTTTCCATTCTTTTGTGAAATGTTTGTCTTCCTTGTCTGCTAACACTTTTTAATATGACAATTATCATTAATTATTCACAAAGTGAGTTAATATTTGCTACATATTTAATGTCTAATTTGTTTCACTATTTTAAATGTACTGTACCTGCCTTCTGAAAAGAATGCAAAGCCCTCAAAGTCAAGTGCATAATATAATATCCTTATGGTTTTGCAGCCTACTATTCATTCAGTACTCAATAACTAGCAATGAACAGCAAATGTAATTATATATATATGTATATATAGAGAGAGAACACTTATGTATATGTAGAACATATATATGTATATATATAGAACACACACACACACATATATATATATGAAACATAAGAATTTATGTATAGCTATGCTGAACATTTGGCTATCAGATAAAACTGTAGCTTTACAAATACTTAAGAACAGAAAAACTGAGATTGCTCCTAGATCTGGGGTGGCCAAAAGAAATGGAATCAGATGTTTTTGTTAATAGGTAATGCCCCAAATCTTATCAGTCATAAGCACTGGGCCAGACAGACCTGTGCTTAGATATTCTAATAAGGTATACCTTTACTAGTACCTTTGTTAGAAAAAAAGATATCCCCTCTAGGTGGACAAATCAGAAAAACAGACCAGCTCTTAACAGGTCAAGCTTAAGAGCACATAGCTTGGTGATGGTGGCAGAGAAGGAATTTTAGACTCTCCGGCTCCCTCCACAAGGCACTATTGTGCAGCACACACATTGCACAACCTCACAGAGTAGTCTTGGCCTTAGCTGAGGGGATAAAAAGAATTGTTTAGTTAAGAAATGAGATTTAGCAGCTTACATAAATCATTAAGGTGTTTTACGCACTTTTTGTACATCAGTGCCTTACATTAATTAATCCATTTAATTCTACCTGCCATGAGTCTATCCACACCCATTTTACTCATGTGGAAACCAAGGCACAGGGAGGTTAAATGGCTTGTCCAAGGTCACACAGCCTTTGAGTGGTAGATTCTGGATTCAAATACATGCAGCCTGATACTGAAACTCTGTTTGTGAACACTTTATTGCCTTTAAACTGATGAAATTAGAATAAATGTAAATTCCTGGGACTATTAAAAAAGTGTAATAAGCTGTAAGAACGAGGCATTATGAAGTAAAGGAACTCACTTTGGGAAATACCAGCTTAGAACTTAATAGGCTTATGATAGTATTTATAAATAATCAAAGGATCAAGTTGATAAGCCATTCTGTGACTTGTAGATAAATATCTTATCAGTTTTTGTACCCTGCTGAAATCCTTCCTCAAGAGATTAAATCACCAAAAGGGTTAACTCTTTTTTTGTGTGTGCAATTTTTCCACTGCCAATAATTTTGTTCCCTGAGCAGTGAAACAAGTAATTCACAAATCAAGAGCATGTTAGGACTATAGGTCCTCAT
The DNA here is from genome assembly GCF_000001405.40 of Homo sapiens. Taxonomy (NCBI): domain Eukaryota; kingdom Metazoa; phylum Chordata; class Mammalia; order Primates; family Hominidae; genus Homo; species Homo sapiens. Next base: position 22,151,633 of record NC_000005.10, read on the forward strand.
TTTCCTAACTGCAAAGAAAATTATTTTAAAAGTAATTTTCCCCTCAGAAGCAATTCCAAGACTGAAGATTAAATATACAGAGAAGCAATGATTCAGGCTTTTAAAAAAATAGCTTTTTAAAGGAGTATAAGTGAAAACAGTTAAGTCAATATATTTAATTACCAAGATTTTATTGTATCTTTTACTCACATAAAAAGACTAAAATAAAACGTTTCTGGTTTTCACAGTAACTGATCTGATAATGTCAACTTTTGAAAACAGATAGTTATGACTCAAGGCTTTGAGAATGTAAAGAGACCACCTTCACTTGTTGAGAAATGGTACGATTTCACGTTATCAGTGCAGTTCCGTTCTCGGGGGAAAGGTAAGCACATAGCTAACTCCAGCTCCAAGCTGCTATTTCATGATAACAGCTCACGGAGCTGTGGGCCTGCTAAGCCTTTCCCATCTCGTTCTGGAATTCCTCTATAGCCCATCCGTACTACCAGGAGACTGGATCCGCAAAGTAGACACTTGGTCTCATGAAGCCACTGCTGGGCTCCAGAGAGAAGGGAAAACTAAGAGGTTTTAAAACCCCTACCCTCCTTGGTTTACCTCCATCATTAAAAAACAACAATGACAACGACAACAAAAAACAAAACTAAAACGACTTATTATTTATTAATTATGTTGTGGCAGACAATATGCTGAACATTAGACATAATTAAATCTTTTTAAAAATTGATAATTTATCTCTGTTTTATAGAAGTGTGAAACTGTCAGGAAGACAGATGAAATGATTTGCCTGAGGCTGTATCATCAAACAAGAAATTCATATTCACCTTTCTGGAATTCTTAGGATAATGATTACATGTGTTCAATTGTTAAAAATTGGCAGATAAAATTTTATGTATTTACCACGTACAACATGAAATTTTGAAACATGTATACATTCTGGAATGACTAAATCCAGCTAATTAACATAGGTATTGGCTCACATATTTACTTTTGTGGTGAGAACAGTTAATATCCACTCTCAACATTTTCCAAGAATACAATATATTACTAACTATAGTCACCATGTTGTAAAACGGATCTCTTGAAGTATTCCTCCTATATAATTGAAATTTTGTATCCTTGGACCAATGTCTCCTCACCCTACTCACTCCTCAAATATCCCTACTCTTGGAAACCACTGTTCTCCTCTCTCTACTTCTAGGATATCAGCTTTCAAGAGTGAGATATTGTGGCATTTGTCTCTCTGTTCCTAGCTTATTTCACTTAACGTAACGTCCTCTAGGTTCATCCATGTGCAACCCCCTAGGTTCATGTCCTTTTTTAAGGTTTAATAGTTTTCTATTGTGTACATATGCCACAATTTATTTACCCATCCACTTCTTGATGGATGCTTCAGTTGTTTCTGTACCTGAGCTATTGAGGACGATGCTCCAGTGAGCATTGGAGCACAGATATTTTTACAGGGTGGTGATTTATTTTTCTTTGGATATATATACCCAGAAGAGAAAGTGCTGGGTCATACGATAGTTCTTTTCTTTTCGTTTTTTTCTTTTCTTTTTTTTTTTTTTTAGAAACCTCCATACTGTTTTCCACAGTGGCTGCACCAATCTATATTCCTAAATTAAACTTCAATGTGCAGATGAATTACCTAAAATTCTTTATAAATTGCAAATGCTGGTTTAGAAGGTGTGCTGATTTTGATGCATTTTTAAGACCCCCCTCCCATCCCGTGTGATGTTCCTACTCCACTCACTGATTTCCCATGTATTATCTAGGGTCTTAACCACATTGCTTGTTTTTCTATTAGAGTTTGGAATGGGTCACCCATGCTCTGAGGCTCTATGAAACCCTGAAGGGAGAGGTAAACATATAAGCTCTGCAATCCAACTGCTTGGTTTTGTATTTTGGATTTGAAACTTAGTAACCATTTTCACCCAGAGGAAATTCCTTAAGCTCTGTAAGCCTCAGTTTCTTTATCTGTAAAGTGGGAGTTACAGTGGTATTATCTCTCACTGTATTTTTAAAGACCAAATGAGAAACTTGATGTAAATAGGAACCTAATGCCTGGTACATAGTGAACATTCAATATATACATTCATGAGTATTTTTAATTAAAACATGTTCATTGCAACATTATTCACAGGGGCCAAGATATGAAATCAACCTAAATGTCTGCCAACAGATGACTGGATAAAGAAAAGGTTATATATATACATATATGTGTGTGTGTATATATATATATGTATATATATATATATAAATATATATATATATACACACACATACACACACACACACAAACATATATATGTATATATGTGTATATGTGTATATATACACACATACATGCACAGATATATATGTATATATATGTATATATGTATTACAGGCATGAGCCATCTCGTCTGGCCAATTATTATTATTATTTTAGAAATTTATCAGTGATGCTTTTCTGTTCAGCTTTAATGAGGTGTAATGACAAAAAAATTGAATATATTTATGTATGCTGTACACTGTGATGTTTTGATATATGTATATATTATGAAATGATTACCACAATCAAGCTAGTTAACATATACATCACCTCTCATAATTATCTTTTTGTGTAGTGAGAACATTTAAGACCTACTCTCTAAGCTGATTTCAATTATACAATATAGTATTACTAACTATAGTCACCATGCTCTACATTAGGTCTCCAGAAATTACTTTTTCTGCATAATTGAAAATTTCTATCCTTTGACCAACATCTCTCCATTTCCCCTAACCCCAGTTTACACACACACACACATATACATATATAGTGAATATATACACATATATATGTACACATATATATGTACACATATATATGTACACATATATATGTACACATATATATGTACACATATATATACACATATGTATATATGTATATGTGTACACATATATATACACATATGTATATATGTATATGTGTACACATATATATACACACTATATATGTACACATATATATACACACGTATACATGTATATATACACATATATAATAATAATAATATCAAAAATAAAATAAAAATTGCTTAGAAATTTCAAAATACAATACCTTCCACTGAACTTCCTTAATCCACATAGCACTGTATTTTTCTGTCTATTGCATTGTCACAAATTTAGCCACTTAACACAGATTTATTATTGCACAATTTCTGTTGGTCGGGAGCCTGCCACATTTTGGCCAAGTCCTCTTCTCAGGGTCTCATAAGGCTATCAGGGTGCTGGCCAACTGCATCCTCATCTGGAGGCCTGACTACAAAAAGATTGGCTCAAAGGCCCCTCAGAGTGTTGGCAGCATTTGTTTCCTTGTGGTTGTAAGATTGAGGTCCCTCTTGCCTCACTATCAGTCAGCTGGGAGTGACCTCACCTCCTCCAGGCTGCTATCAGATTATGCCACAGGCCCCTTCCGTTTCTGTAATAAAGAACTGCCCTCATATTGAATCCATATCACACCTCAGATTTCTCTGATTTCCCTTCTGCTTTCAACTAGACAAACTCTCTGCTTATAGAAAGGCTCATGTGATTAAATTGTGCTCTATTTTAAGGTCAAGTGTGCTATGTAACATGACCAAATAATGAGAGTAAAATCTATTATAGTGACATTCCCTGGAATTATGTAGAAGCGAAACTATTGCTGGAGGGGTAGTCTTTGGGGCCAACTTAGACTATTGATTATTCCATGTTCAAGGAGAGGTGGCATATAATTGGAGAGCTAAGAACCGTCAATATCTCAACATCTAAAAAAATAAAAATTGTAATTGTATTTAAAATGTTAGGAAACATAGTTAGAAATTTAGGGTTTTAAGCAGATATAAAGATCTTTTAATCATGCTACTACCTAATTACAATATTAGATAAAGAAGAACAATTAAGCCTAGTCTATATGTTAGAGAAATATAGTAATTTTTTCTGGAATGATTTATTATGTGCAGACTTTGGGTTATTGGAATAGATCATTGAACATATATGTTTTAAAGTACTTAAAAATATTTTATAAATAAAGTTATTTTTATACAGAACAGAAATAGTTGATATTGAATCAGAAATACTGTATTAGCATAAGTCATATGTTTAAGGAAATATATTCCTAAACAATAGGAAGAAACACAGGCAACACTGATGTAAAAAAGATTTACAGACATGAGCTTCATGCACTTGGTTTATGGACTAGAATTCTATGCCTTCTAGAAGCAGAAAATATGCAACGACTCATTCTGCCTTATGGCCATTTCAGAGCTTTTAATCTAATAAAACCTATATGTCAGCCAGTAGCATGTCAGGGTCTTATTACTCTGCTTCCTTAGAGTCTGATATGGGAGGTTAAGTCCCTGCACAAATGTACCCCTTGGGGTTCCCTGAGGTGGAGCCATGCAGGTTTGCATCTTTGCTTACTGATATATATATATAAAAGATAACATTAAATATTCTATTCCTGTTTTCACTTATGCGTTCACTAAGAATGATGAAAGTGGGAACTGTGTGGCATGGCCTAGGAATTGTGCATGAGCACACTCTATTTTACATGTCTCATCAGAAGTCAGTTTCTAACCTTCTTCTGTCTGTAGACAAGCATATCACCTAAGCTTTCTCAGAGATTAAAGGTATACCACCTAGCTTAAATGGCCCAACTAATGAAAGAGAGGTACACTTAAATTGCATCTTAATGAGAAAAAATATGAAAAGGAGAATTAATAGAGATTTCTCAAAATTTAATGAGCATAATTTTTATTATTGAACAATGTTTGCCTATAAAGTCTTACTCAACTTGATGAAAAAATGCTAAGATACATGTTAAGGAGTCCTCATTTTAATACTTTATGTAAAATCGTATATACATATACTTAAAGAAAAATAATGGCATATTTGCTGTCTTTAAATCATTGAGAAAAAAAAGACTACATGTGTCATTTAATTTAGCTAAAGAAGGAAGGTGACTGAAAAATACAGTTTTTACATAAGATACTAAGTAGCTGGCTGGGTTTTGCTAATGTTCCCAAATTTGAAATCATTTTAAAAAGAACACTCCAATGAGCACCAGAGAACTGAGACATTTTAAAATAAAATTATAACTGCACTTAATCTCATATTGTCTCCTTAGCCTTTTGACATTTTAATTGCTGTGCCATTTTTCACTGAGATGGCAAGCATTTTTTACATATGCATAATGTAGCCTGTGTTAATGCGTATTGATTAAAGTAGACAGTGATGCGAGGATGTTGGAATTTTACCCACTGTGACCCTACTGAATGTTTCCCTCTGCTCTTTTTGTTTTCTTTATAACCAGAGGGGGAAGAAAAGCATGTATTTTCCAACAAGTCTCTATGCTATCTGAACTCTAGTATTAACAGGTGAAAAATGACATGTTTAACAAAAGAAAGACTAGAAAGCATCTACATCACAAACTTGTAAGTCTTTCATTTCTGCATTGGAGACACTATAGGAAAATCAATAACTTCCTTTGAGTCTAGTGATCTAGCTGCTTACAAGAAATTTACATCTCCCTGACAGGCAGTTTGTAAGGTCTGGTTCACCTGGGTCACAGGAGTACACATAATTTGCATCTTGAGCAATTTCTCTCTTTCCTTCTACCTGTTCCATGAGGAAAGAAGATTGAACCTGGTCATAAAGAGAATCTCATTACGTCTCAGCTGAGAAGAGTAATTTTGTAGGTGTTCTTGGATTGCAAGAGTATCATATAATGATAATATTTTCTCATAGCTCTTCAGACCTATGCACACACCAGGAAATGAAAGTAACATACACCCAGGCACATTTGAAGCTTCTGAGCTGTCATTCACCAAATGAAATTTAAGTGTTCCATCAAAGTCATTTGCAAATATGATCTCAAGATGGATATCCAGATTCTTTGCTAACAAAAATATACAAGAAGATAGACATTTAGCTTACCTCTCATAAAATCTGAAAAAAAAATTCCCCTTCTATTTTATTCTGCCCTTCAAAATACACAAGATCTGAATGTCAAATAAATGTTTATATTATGATATGCTAATAATGCCTGGCATATATTTTCCTAGTTAGTTCTGTAAGCTCAGTTAAAAACAAATAAAAACCAAGGAGGCAATGCTGAAAACTTTTTGAATCAAAAATAGAATGCAATAGCATTTAATTATAATTAAGTCTTTAATATGCTAATTTAAATCTCACATACTTTTAAGCATGGGTCTATTTGCAAATTCATCTAAATAAATATTTGGCATGAAGTCTAAATCCACTTTATTCCAATATGTTTTTTTTTCCGGGATAAAGATTATAATGAGATTCAAATGTAATAATTTTCATCCTGTATTCATGAAAATAATTGTCTAGGTGTAAATGAACGTATTATTACAATTCACTATGTGTACTCATACCTAGTCATGAGGTCCTCATATATAAAATAGAGGGAGAGTACAACTTTAAAGTGTTTTATATATCCATTTCATATTTTTTCTCTTTGCAATTTAGGATGAATCTTCTTAGACAAATGGTTATGTTATTAATGCACCAACATTAACCTAGAAAAGGCTACTTAGTACTACTTAACTTGAATACTAATCACCCTGGCCTCAGTAGCCCACCATATCTTGCAAAGTATTCTGAAATAGTATTGGTGATAAACACCATTTGGAAAGGAAAAATGGCTGTATCTGTGTTTTTACATGCACGCTCCCCTCATTATTTTTGCATATGATAAAATAGATAATATTTACTGAGCACTTATCACAAGTCAGTTGTCTTGTTAAGTGATGCAGAAGCATTTTCTATTAGTCCCCAGAAAACCACTGGGAGGTTGGTACAACACAGTTCCATTTTATCAAAGGATCCATTCATGAAGACCTTGTACTCACATAATGAAAGATTAATTTCCCACAGGAGCAAATAAAAAGCTGAATGGGGGTGTTCTTTAGAAATATCACGGTGGTAATTCAGCTTGATTTAGAATGAATTTCTAAACCTATCTCTGCTGCACTATACTTGGTGGCTTGCTTCCCAATATTAGCCGTGTACACCTTACTTTTATATCATTATGACAGAATACACTTTTTGTTTGCATGATGACAATACATGTTTAAATAAAAGACTATGCATCAGCAAAAGCACTCACAGGTGTTCTGATCCACTTCAACAACTGCTTGATTTACAATATGTTGACAAATTAGCTCAGGTCATCATTTATATTATCTAAGGTACTAGTGCTACATACAAATAATAAAAACAAGAATTATAATGGTGTCCCTTCAGCTTTGAAATTCTGTGACTCTTCATAATAGCTTTGCATTATTTTAAAGTTAGCATATAAAATAAAACTTCGTTACTTAAAAATTTGAGCACAGTTAAATTGTTGGCATCGGTTCCCCTATGTTTTTGAATATACAGGTTCCTGAAAAGGTCCATAGTTTTAGCAGAGTAGACTTTATAGCAGTGGTGAATTTTGAGGGAGAAAATAGATGAGGAATGTCATGTGCAAAATAAAGACCTAGTAAAAAATCAGCTAGAAGAGAAAGAAACTATCAATGCACACCACTCAACAGCAAGGACAAAAGAGAGACAGGACAAGAGAGGATCTGTTGACAATGGTACAAAAAGAAGGAAATAGAAAATACTGATTTTCAACTCTGGTTTAATATGGTGACTTCTTATCCAACTGCCTTAATGTTGAAAATGAATAGTTTTCTCCAAATTTCTTAGGATAATGAGGATATGCCTACACATTTTCATTAGAAAATGGTGCATGGGTAAAATTTTCTTTAATGTTTTGTAGTGTGGCAGCATGTTTTTCTGCCAGGTATATTAATAAAACCATATTATATTGTGTCTTTTCTGATCTATAATTATAGCTTACATGGTTCAGATGAATTTCCTCTCTGGCAGCTCTCTGTTTGACTTAATCGCTGCTGATAAACACTATCACTCATTTTTTACCCACCAAATAAAATTTTTCATCTTGATGCATTTTGTCTGCATTGCACATATTTAAATACTCAATAACTACCACAGCAAAAACTCACTTCGGTTTTTACCTTGTAGACAAATGGCTTATCTATTTAGCTTAAATCCATAAACTTTGTTACAGCGTTATCAACTGGATGAGTTTAAATATACTGGAATCAGGTTTACCATGACATAATTTAAATAGTTTAATAGTTCATTAACAAGATATTAACAAGATCAAAATTATTACTCCTTACTGAAAAAGGCAGCTCTATATACTAGGACATAGTCAAGACAGTAGCAAAATGTGTCTGTGTGCGTGTGTGCGTGCATGTGCATGTGTGTGCCTGTGTGTGTATGATTCTTTAAGGTAATGTTAGAGACAACAAATGGTAATAGACGGAGTAAAAATAAAATATGTACCAGGCCAATGAAAATTAGAAAAACTTCACCTATCTATTGCAATATACGTTGCTCTTCTGTTCTGGCTCAAATGGGTATGTGTTCCAGAAAGTTGCAAAACTCCTCAAAGACTCTTCAGTTCAATAGGGTATCCACCATCTGACCCATACAGTTGAGATTGAAAATAGATTCAGTCTGGCAGAAAAATGTCCACAGAAGGCTTTTCTCCTTTTTTTCTTTTTAGAAAAAAACAAGATAAAGCAAAACAAAATAAATTATTAACATGCTGCTTTGGATATGTTAGATGTGTTTCCCAAGGGACACTGTGGTATCTTCATGGCTGGATATTTTCAGAACATCTCAGTGTATTTTCTTATTTACTGCCCTTGGTTCTCCTAGACTTTTGAACATTGAGTAGTCACATGAACGTTGTTTAGCAAAAGGAGGTGAACCAAGTAAATCATTCTCTGAGATAAAGAAGTCCATGGGAATTGGCCTTACCTCACAGAAACAAACCAAAATGAATTGTAATATTAATCTTAGTGCATTCAGGCTGCTATAACTAAAATAGCATATACTGGATAGCTTATAAACAACATAAATTTATATTTAACAGTTCTAGAGGCTAGTTTAAGATCAGGGTGCTGGCTGATTTAGTGTCTGGTGAGGGCCCCTTTCCTGCTTCGTAGGTCACACCTTTTGGCTGTGTCCTGTGTTCTCACATGGTGAAAGGGACCAAGGAGCTCAACTCCCTTGGGCCTATATTATAAGGGCACTAATCCTATTTATGAATGCTCCACCCTCACGACTAATCAGCTCCTAAAAGACCTTACCTCCAAATATCATCACCACAGGGGTTACTTTTCAACATACAAGTTTGGGGGAAAAGCAAACATTTAGATCATGGCAATATTCAATATCAGAAGCAGAAGATGATTCATGCTAGAGGGTCCTCGACAACTGTGTTTGGGAAAGTCATGCATGGCTCTGCACGGAGTCTCTGCCTGGCCCTCATTTAACACTCATGACCCTTGGAATGCACAGGCTCTGTGACCTTGCCCAAATCCTGAAGCTTTCATTCCATAATTTAAGGGGAACATACACAAGTGTATAGAATTGAGCTGTCATAGAAGCTTCACTATTCTCATCCTCTCTCTTCTCATTTCTTATATCTTAACTATGATTGCTAACCCCAATGACCTCTTTGTCAACACTATGTTATGGAGTTCCCCTAAAACTTTTTGTTTCACCTCTCCTCTTCGGTCCTGTGTTCTGAAAATTAAAGATAAAATTTTTAGATGATTTAAGAATCCTTATGAAAAAATGAGCTAACTCTGGACATTTAAAATACTAAAACACCTAAAAGAGAGTATCATATTGCAAGAATAATCAAAAACAACCTAAAGAAAAATATCTGGCTGGGCATGTTAGCTCACACTTGTAATCCCAGCACTTTGGAGGCTGTAATGGGAGGATCACTCAAGCTCAGGAGTTCGAGACCTGCTTGGACAACATAGCAAGACCCTGTCTGTATCATAATAATAATAATAATAATAAATTGCCAGACATGGTTGCACGTGCATGTAAGAGGCGGAGGTGGGAAGATTGGATGAGCTCAGGAGTTCAAGATTGCAGCGAGCTATAATTGTGCCATTGAATTCCAGCCTGGATGACAGAACGAGAACCTCTCAAAAGGAAGGAAGGAAAGAAGGAAAAAAGATGGGGAAGGAAGAAGAGAGAGAGGGAGGGGGGAAAAGAAAAAAATCCAAACACCTCAAATGTGGTTAACTGCAGTTGGGAATTCAATTTATATTTGAGCTTTCTGAAATCTGAGATACTAGAGAAATATATATTTAAAAAATAACATGCATAATAACTTTATTACATTTATTTGTAAAGACTCATATGTTTATTATAGAATGGGGGATTAATCTTTCATTAAACTGGTCTTGTCGAAGTCACTACAACATTCACTTCCCAGCCATGTCTGTATAATGACTTCCTATCAGTTTATGTTGCTTCAGCATCCATTTTGAATACTAGTATTGCTTTCTCATACTAGAAGCAGGGCTCAGTCACCCTTTACACAGTTTTTCATCCTACAGCATACCCAAAGGGCTGAAACTGGTGGTCATATATAAAAATTTAGAGGCATGTCTTCTGCCTAGCAGACTGAACGCTGCTTTCTTGCCCCTTTCTTTAAAGGGACCATTCAGTCATTTGCTCTGAACTTTGAAGGCCCACACCCTAATCTTTATATAGTGTGCTAGTTGCCACCCGTTTCTCTCTCTTTGTCTGACTCTTCATTTCTGCCTGCCATGACTCCAGGATAAAGAACTGCCCTCCAGACTCATTATACCCTCCCACACACCCTTACTTGGATCCTGGAGTCTGCAAGTAAAAGTCTTTGAACTTGTTCCTTATTTTGGTGTTACATTAAATTTGCACTTTCCATCTGAAGAATCAGGAGCTGCCTCAGGTTGGGTTTTCCCTGGAACACTGGGGAGAATACAACGTCAAGCTCCCAATGCCAAAGTGTTGACCAGGCAGGCGTAAACCAGACACAGGTCAGACAAGAATCACATGTGGCTTGCCAGTGTAAGTTTTCCCTGGTCGCAAGTATGATGTGTTTATTTTTAAAAATAACATCATGCATATATTAAGTTTATTTGTAATAAACTTACAAATAAAGTTTGTAAACACCCACATCCAACTCCTCATCATTTGCCCTTAGTGCAGGTTTGTCAGCTGCTCTAGTACTGGACCCATAATTTAGCTGGGGCTCTGACATCATGGAATATTTTATTTTCCCTTACCTAGCTCTCAATACACCCTATTATGCAGGCTATTCCTCTGCAGTCTCTTTTGTTGGTTCTTTCTCTTCCCTCTGACTTTTTTTTTTTTTTTTTTTTTTTGAGACAGAGTCTCGCTCTTTCGCCCAGGCAGGACTGCAGTGGCGCGATCTCTGCTCACTGCAAGCTCCGCCTCCCAGGTTCATGCCATTCTCCTGCCTCAGCCTCCTGAGTAGCTGGGATTACAAGCGCCCGTCACCGCGCCCGGCTAATTTTTTGTATTTTTAGTAGAGACGGGGTTTCACCATCTCCATCTCCTGACCTCGTGATCCGCCCACCTCGGCCTCTCCAAGTGCTGGGATTACAGGCGTGAGCCACCGCTCCCGGCCCCCTCTGACGTTTTAATGTTGCATCTCAAGGTTCAGTCCTCGGCCCTCGTTTATCCTGTTTATATACATTTGGTTGGACTTCTCATCCAATGTCAGGACTTTCAATATCCTCAATATGATGACCACTTCCAAATACATATTTCCAGCCCAGACTCCCTCCATTCCTGTATATTGCATGTACATAACACAAAGAATCATGTATCAATATTTACCACTTGGATGTCTAAAATGCATCTCAAACTTGGCATGCACAAAACTGCACCTTCAATCCATGAACACACACACACCCATCTATTTGTAGTCTTACCCACTTCAGTTGACATTCACAATTCAGACCAAAATTTTTTAAGTTGTTCTTGATTTTCTTTTTATTTTACATGCTGCACCCATGCCATTGGTAGAATACTGCCCCAAATATTCATAATTTGAACATTTTCACCATCTTTGTTAGAATTATCCTGACATGAGACACCATTGTCTCTTGCCTGAAGTATTGCCATTTGTAACAACACCCAGGATCACACTGTCAATGAGATTCCCAAGAATTAGAAATTTGATCCAGTATTGAGCTTATTAATAATTTCAAGGGTACATATAAATGCATAATACAGGTGAAGCAGGAAGAATTCCATGACAACCAGTATGACTCCCTAGGTCATTTTTTCATCTCACTGTTATGTCTCTTTCAGGTAATAGATGAGACTTCTAATAAAGTACATGGTCACCTCACTTACAAAGAAAAAGCCATTTAGATTATAGAACATCACAATTTCATACTCATATAGTTACATAATTCACATTATGTTAATCAGGAAGTATGTCCCATGAATCTGTAGATTCCAGGTTTATTTACCAGAAGCAATTACAGAAGAAGCAAGTACATCCTGCCCAAAACTTTTCATAGTAAAGACTCTCATCCTAGTGTTACCAGGGGTCCTTGCTCCCAGAGCTCCCAAGATGGTCGTGGGCCACTTCCAAAATGGCGGCGGGCCACTTCCAAGATGGTGGCAAGCCTCATGCTCTCTGACTTGGGGTTCTTGGCCTCAAGATTCCAAGGAATGGAATCTTGGGCCATGCAGTGAGTGTTATAGCTCTATTAGAAGTCGTGGGTCACAGAAGAGAACTGTGGAACCCAGTGAATAGTGTTCAGCTCAATTAGGATGAACCCAGGCACTTAGCTGTGCAGGAACAATGGCAAGACTTTAACCCGATGGGGAGCGACAGTGGGCGCCTCGCTGAATCAGGAGCACAGCAGGCACCCTGCTGGATCCTGAGGGATGGAAGTCAGCGGAGGGTCTGTGACGGCGGCAAAACAGCAGTGGTGGACAGCGAGTGAAAGCTCAGCTCAAGCCGTAATAAACACGGACCAGAAGAGTGCAGTTGCAAGATTTAATAGAGTGAAATAGAGTGAAAACAGAGCTCCTGTACGAGGAGGGGACCCCAAGGGGGTTGCCTTTGCTGGCTCCAGTGCCTGGGTTTATATCCCGATCCTTGTCCCTCCCACTGTGCTCTCAGGCAATAGATGATTGGCTATTTCTTTACCTCCTGTTTTTGCCAAATTAGCATTTAGTGAGCTCTCTGATTGGACAGCTGTGAGCTCAGTTGCAAGCCCCGTGTTTAAAGGTGGATGTGGTCACCTTCCCAGCTAGGCTTAGGGATTCTTAGTCAGCCTAGGAAATCCAGCTAGTCTTGTCTCTCACTAGCACAAACCATGTAGTTTAATTGCCAGGAGGTCTGTCATTAAACATGACAATGTTTAATAGGAGATTAGACTTCTCACTGAATGTGTTTGTTTCCCAGGAGCACTGCCTTGCGAAAGGGAATTAATTCATCATTTCATCGCAGACCTGCTGTGTAAACATTTTCATCTCACCGCATAACAATGTCTCTGCTTTCACTTTGGCCCCGACATTCTATTCTGAACACAGCAGCCAAAGGGGCTGGTTAAAATGTTGGTCTGATCATGTCATTCCTTTGCTCATCACCCTGCAACTAATCCACATTTCATTCAGGGTAAGAGTCAAACTCCTGACAATGGCCCCGAAAGCCCCAAGTGATCAGTTCTTGTTACTTCTCTGAGTTCATCCTCTGTTAATCTCCCTTCACTTTCTCCATGACAGACACACTAGCCTCGTAGATGTTCTGTGGATTTGTTAGGAGTGTTCCTGCTGTGCTTTTCATAGATACACACAGTGACAATTCCTTTACCTCTTCTAAATCTTTTCTGAACTCTTACTTTTTCAATGGATGAATGTTTGATGACCCTATTTAAAATTGCAAATATCCAGCCTCCCAACACACATACACATACACATACACATACACACACACATACACACACACACACACACAGACATTCCAAGCATTTGTGGTCAACACTCTTACTGTGTTTCACTTGTTTTTTCCTTATGTCAGAGGCCTTTGAACCACAGCAACTCCATCTTGAGTAGGGGCTGGGTAAAATAAGGCCAAGACCTACGGGGCTGCATCCCCAGATAGGCATTCTAAGTCAGAAGATGAGATAGGAGGTCAGCACAAGATACAGGTCATAAAGACCTTGCTGATAAAACAGACTGCAGTAAAGAAGTCAGCCAAAACCCACCAAAACCAAGATGGCGAGGAGAGTGACCTCTGGTTGTCCTCACTGCTACACTTCCACCAGCGCTAGGACAGTTTACAAATGCCATGGCAAGATCAGGAAGTTACCCTATATGGTCTGTAAAGGGGAGGCATGAATAATCTGAATAATCTACCCCTTGTTTAGTATATAATCAAGAAAATAATATAAAAACAAGCAACCATCAGCCCTCAGGGCTGCTCTACTTATGGAGAAGCCATTCTTTTATTCCTTTACTTTCTTAGTAAACTTGCTTTCACTTTACTCTGTGGACTCACCACGAATTCTTTTTTGTGTGAAATCCAAGAACCCTCTGTTGGGGTCTGGATCAGGGCCCCTTTTCAGTAACACTTATCAATTATCACTTTTTTTAAAAAAATACATAATGGCTAGTTCCTATCTTACACTGTTAGAATGCAAGTTTCAGATATGCAAGGATATTTATCTCTCTTGTTCGTTGATGTATCCCAAACCCCTGGAAGAGGACCTAGTTAGATAGTAGCTTCTAAGTATTTTTTAATGAATATCTGACTGCACTGGGAATTATATAGCTGTTCATTTATATTGGACATCTGGTCATCCCTTGAATAGAAGTCAATGGGTTTTTTTGCTTATGCCCATACCATATTGTCTAGTAGTTGATTAAGATTATTTTCCCTAGAATATATTTCTCTTAAAAATATTTTCTCCTTCTAAATTACCAGCAACCAAATTAAGATGCTTCAAGTATTTTGCTAAAAAGATTTTAAAAGTAGGTCAATTAGAATAAATCCAAAGAATAGCATTTTTACTATAATGCACTGCCAGTTTCTTATATGGCACAAGTTTGCCAAATTATGCAAAAATATGTACACATGCTTTTAAAATATTTTGACAGATTAAAAACTACATAGTAAAACAACTGTAAAATGATTACAAAGAAAGCTTCATTTCATAAAAATGCTGTTTCTCTAATATATCAAATTTGAGATACATTGTTAATTCAATGCTCATAATTGAAAAAATTCTTACTTTTAGAAATGATCACTCCCTAGCGAGAAAGAATATATCTTATATTATTTTAAAAAAAGCAAAAAATGATGGCAAAAGTCAATTTGAACCCAGTTGAAGTAATCATTTAACTGATAAGTAATACTCTGTAAATATCTGTTTCTTCAGTTTCAGAAGAAACTTCAGTTGTTGATCTTCAATTCCTATGTTTTATATGAAAATATTTTGAAAAGAAAATAAGTGTTTTCCAACTGAGCATAATAAAGGAGGCTAAACATGATTATTCATAATTTGCAGTAATATACCTTTGACAGGCATGAAACATACATATGGATGAGAAAAGAGAGACCTCAATTTGTTTAGATTAGACCCATTTCAATCAGCAGGAGAAAACACATATAAGAATGGATGTGGTTTGTGAAACACTGTGTTAGAATCTCTCTGTTTATATTCTGAAGGATGCTAGTCATGTGAATGATTTTAAGCAGCAGAATATATAAATGCCAATCAAGTAAATCATTCACGAAGAGCCAAGGCATCGCTGAAAGAAAGATACCCCAGGGAATTGGAATGACCTTACTCTGCCAAACCAAAGCAGATTGAAAAGTTTAATGCCATGGACAGATTTTGACAGTGGTAATGGTATTGGTGTCCTTCGCTTGTTCCTACTCTGGGGAGTTATAACTTTAAAAGCTTTGATTTTTGTTTATCATGACAAGTTCTTCAAATATATAGCTCTTTGGACTCAATGGCTCTGCCATGCCCCATTTCTCTTCTGTAGGCCTGGAATCAACTATGAGAAAAGAACGCATAGCCATATATATTTTTCAAAGACATAATTTAAAACTATAATTGTACTTTGATCCTTACAGATACTATAAATTTATAGTGCTATAAATAGTTAATAACATCATGATGAGTATTAAATACTCTTATTTTACATAGATTTGGCTATTTTCTTTTACGATGTACTATGTCTGTGACTCCCTTAGGTCTGCTTTGTTAATGACATTAAAGGTAAGCTTTGAAAATCCATATTCCATTTCTAATAGCTTTCCTCTGGCACATGGGTACACCTGATCTAAAGGGTGACATCATCCTTTACTTTCTCAATCATCTTGATTTTCCTCAAACTCTGGTCAAAACACCACCATTAGATGGACACATTTTCCATTGTTTTTATAAGGTTCTTTTTCCTCTCAATACGTGTAACTGCCACATATAGCAACCGAAGGATGATAAGAGAATTTTCATGGCACCCAAGGTGAGAAGCTGAGGATTGTCAGAGAAAGGTGGAAGTGTTTATTTTTCTTTCTTTTCTCTTTGATTCACTGTAGTTCTGTACCGATATCATCTTTGTCCTAGCTGAGCATGCCTCCTAACTTTGTGGAATAATGTGCTATATGTTCATGTGCATAAAGATAATATGTATATTTATAATATGCATTAATTTGAATGAATCAAAATTAAAATTATGTGACTTTTTTCTCTCATGTCCCCTCTTCCGTTATTACACTACTAGTCCCCTCTAAACCCACTGACACTGTCCATTGTTCTGAATTTGATTCCAGAGTTAGAGCTCAATTCTCTGCCTAATATAGTATTTTCTGTTTACATAGTGATTGCTCATATATTTTGCTCTTGTCAGAAATCTTCGACGGACTTATGCTGCATAAAAGTGCTGAAGGAAGAAGTCATTTAATTTTAAAATAATTTGTTTACTATGCATTAGAGTCTAACAAAGACAGATGGATACACATTTATGGTAATAATGCTTATTTCTCTCATTTCCTTCTCATTGTATTAAAACTAAGAGCAAATAAGCACAATTCGGATTTTGTTTGTGTGATTTTTTACTTTTCAACTTCTTTCCATCCTGACTCTCCTTGCAGCTTTCACATATGGACACATATTATTTGTGTTGAACATGATTCAAATACTGTTTTGAGTTATGTTGTACAATGTCTGATATATGTCATATATAAAAATAAAGGGTCTAATATATTCCTTCAAAGAATAATCAAGGTAAGTAATGTGCGCATGGGGCACACACTGTTCAAATAAATACTACAAAGAGACAGCAGTCTTTGCTGTGAGGCACACATCTTCCCTAGTGACCTCCCCTTGACAATAACTACGCTCCACTAAGGATGAATAAGGATCATTTCTTTTTCTCTCAGATGAGAAAACAGTACAACTACACTAGATGCATTTATCTTTTGTCTTTGCAACTGTCTTTCTGCTTCTTTGTCCATCCAATCTCTGTTTCTCTAGTCTAATTCAGACCTGCTCATTTCCCTCTCCTCCTGTCTATGTCTGTCTTCCTGTCTCCCTCTCTCTCTGCCTTTCTGTCCTATTTTTGCCTCTCAATTTCTCTCTACTTTTGTTTTCTTTTGGTTTGTCTTTCTGTCTTTTTTTTTCACTTTATCCTCTTCTACTCATATTTATATATGCATATAAAGAGATACAGAATTTACACTTTATAAGTTGAACTCATTTCTGTTCTGCTCTCTTGCATAGTAAAATATCAATCACACTAACCTGCTTACTGAGCCAAAGTTCTTCCTTACAGTTGAGAAACCTTCTATGCATCTAAAAATGAACAGTCGTATCCATAACAGTGACAGCATGCATTTGATTTGCATAGTGCCTTTTCAGTCAAACTGTTATGCAGCCTAGTTAGACCTCTGACTTTGAGGATGCAGACAGAATTGTTTAACACAATGACCTTGACGAGCCTCACAGTAAAGTCTCATTCTGAGAAAATCACACTTGAAAGATAAAATAATTTACACCTAGCATTCTGGAGTATAATTACACCCATGATAGACATTACTTTTCAGGGCTGAATCTATGGCTACATTTTATCATGCAAGGGGAAAGAGAGAGATAGAAATGATTGTTTGTTGAATGCATATCACTGACTAAGCACAAAGCTAATTGATACATAATATCTCATTGTATTCTCTGTGTCACATGCTTATCCTTCTGAGTTACCTCTGTTTTATACATGAGAAAACCAGAGTTCTAAAATAGTACATTAACTTGTTTAAGGTCATAGATTTAGGAAGTGGTATTTTTGAGATTCCATCCTGAGCCATGTGTACTGAAAATATAGGTTCTATACTTGTTAATATATGTCTTCCATATATTCCTATGAGGGTCCTATTTCTTAAAGTTATATAACTTTACTGCTTATTAAAAATATGCCTAATTGAAATAAACCACTACAATTTTATTTGCCATTACAATCTTTGGATTAATTTTCCAAAAATCTAACACCTAGCAAATTGTGAAAGGGTGAAATGTGTAGTTGAATAACACACCTACAAAGGCAGAAAGCTGAATGTCCCTCAGAATAGTAGAAACAATTACTGGGGCTGTGGAGGGGGAACGATAATAGCCAGACCTGCTTCTCTTGAATATATTTTATTGAAGATATCAATATTCAAAGGCAAAAGATAATAATAATGATCAAAAACTTTAAGTTGTTCTGATTTTCTTGATGTATCTTCTAGGTGTGTTAGTTTGAGGGAATTGAATGTATTGAATAATTCAACTGACTTTTCACATTTCACATACTAACATTTCCTGAATACTTTTAAGGCAATTGTACTTCTTTGACATTTTTAAGGCTAACAACAATCCTAAATTGTAGATATAATTTACTGTAGTTAAATAAATCATTACCTGAAGCTGGGAGGGTTTGTTTTACGTTCACTTAGAGAAATGGCAATTCAAATGATGAGTTAACTTACATATAAGCTTCTTATATATAACTTATATATAAGCTTCTTATATATAAGTTATATATAAGCTTCTTTTTTACATTTTCAAATTCAGTGCTTTCCTCTAATTATCATTCTTCCCAGGCTACTTCTGAACTCACGTTTCTATGTCAAAGTAATATGTCTCAGTTAACATTGTACAATCTAACCTCTGGCAGCAGAATCACGAATTCACTGAATTTGGGAGCTGGTGCCACATTTTTTGTGATAATTATGATCTTAATAGTATGACTTTTTTCTAACTTCCAATTAGATTGAACTTTAAAATTAACATTTATCTTATTTTACTTATTTTGTCCATAGCTACTGTTAAGTAGAATTTTAATTAAGCAGCAGTTGGTAGCAGTTAGTTTCAAGTTGTTAGAATTCGTGATCATCTAAAACCCAAATGTTAGTAGATATATGCTTAAAAATAGGTGCTGTCAGAGGTCCACAAATACTTGGGTCTTTTTGCCAGTTTTAACAGTTAAAATTAGATATGCTTCCATGTTATTTGGAAAGAAACAATCCAAGAATATCTAGTCCAAGAACTTGCATGGTCCACTGAACAGCATCATTGACAAGGAATCAGGCCTTTGCTTCTATTCCTGGCCACATGCTGCAAAAGTCATTCAGATTTATCATGCAGATGACTGGCTTTGCATATCCCTATCATTATCACTAACGCTGAGATAACAATTCCCACTTACCACACAGGAATCTCTAATGATTAATTGGATAATGTTCGTTAAGTGCTCCCAGCTACTTAGAATAAATGTACTAGATGGCTATTAAGCATTGTTATTATAAGATGTTGCTTAGATGTAATACCAGTGACTGACTGCTCCATAGTTATGAGGAAAATTACTTCCTCTGATAATATGAGTGTAATACATATTGACTTAAAATATACATTCTTTGGCATACATTTAGACTTTCCAAATGAGCTAAGCAAAGGGCGGCCTTCTATATGGTTTGTTAGTTGCTCATTTAAGAGTGCATACTATCTGTGTGGCACTTTTATAAGCACTTCATCCTTACGATAATACTGAATGCCAATGATATATCCCCACTTTTTATAGGAAGGACACAGAAACATAAATGCCTTGGCTGAGGCCACACAGCTAGTAAGTGGTAGGGTCAGAACTTAATCCTTTTAAAACTGGCTTCAAACCACTCATGCTTAACCACTCCCTTAGACTGCATAGCTCCTATATTTACATTTGTATTGTGTTTATCCCTTTGCTCAAGAAAGTGGAAGTGTTTGGTTATATATCACCTGGAAAACTTGCTGATCTATCTTTTTAAAGACAAATTGTGCAAGGTTAATCCAGGAAGATCCCCTAGGGAAAATCAGTTAAGGAAGAATTGAGATATAAAGAAGGCAGGTGTAGGAGTGAGAAAGGTAACCTGAGTTCCTTGTCTATGTACAGGTGTCATCACTTCCTATTAATTGGGGAAGATATTTTAAGTTCATTGTGATTTTGAATTTAGATGCCTCCAATTTTTTGAAAATGCAGAAAACAAATTACAGAAATGCTATGTGAAGTTATAGCATCTGGGAAAAAGAACAAATATTTTCTTCTCTAATGTTTCATCAAGTGAAATGATTTGGGCTGTAAATAAAGTGCTAGTACAATATATTTTCAATGATAAAAGAAATTATCATCTCTCCAAACAAGACATCCAAGGCAAACTGACTTAATTTTAAATTCAGCACCTCAACAGCATCATCAAGGATCCACACTTTTTCCCTCTTTATTCACTATACTCCTCAGCATGTTACCTGAGCCTCTTATCTCCTCCTTGAAGATGACGGAAGCAGCTCCATCTACCAATTGACACACATCAGGATCTGCAAGAACGAGAACTCAATCTTCCTTGTTTCTCTCTTAAAGCCCCACAAGAAATCAGTTCCCTTGTATCTCATTGGCTGAAACTTTGTAGCATGTTTGTTCCTAAAACAAATAGCAAGAGGACTAAAAGGTTCATAGTTAGCTAAATTAGTCAAGATTCACTTCTTTCATCAGGAACTGGGAGGTCTCTTTCCTTAAATTCCATTGCTTTGTGAATGAATGTGGTTTTCGGAACATAAGTCATAGTCTCTAAACAGGGAAGAGGGATGTCTGTTGGGTAGATGACTGTATACTGTCTACTGTTACTCTTATATTTTATTGAATGCATTTCCTTTTTTCTCTATTTTTTAATATTTGCATGGTGAGAATGAATTCATTTAATTTATTTTAATTTTAAATCTATATTAATGCAAATTTTACATAGCAAAATGAAAGAAATTTTTAGTTCATTAGATGCTGTGTCATTGTATTGTACTGAATTTTCTCCTAATTTTGTAATTCTGAGGATGAACCACAACCCATCTTTTCTCAAACTCAAATACAGACATTACCCAAGACTCATTAATCAGAACCAATGACATTTTTGTCTGGTTTGTATTTTCTTCTAGATGTCAAATTGACATGTGAGGATTAACATATCCACAAAACAAACTTTATCAAACTAGGCTGTCCATTTCTACGTTCTGTCCTCCGTAATACATCATTTACATTTTGCTTTATTGATTTTCATTTAGCATAATACTTTTGGTAGTGGTGGTGGCCTGTGTGTACATGTATGTACATACATGTGCTAAATGTACACATTTAATTACATATATATGATTTGTTATATAATTATATAATTTATATAATTTAAATTTTATAATTATATAATTTATGTAATTATATAATATAATTTACATTTTATAAATCTAATATAATTTATATAATATAATTTATGAAATTTATATAATTATAATACATACACTTTTATATAATATAAATATTAATAAATATTAATAAATATTAAATAAATATTAATAAATATTTCAAATGCTTTAAAATATTTGAAATAACCTGTATATAGAATTAGACTTTAGATATCTAACCCTTATATAGGATTAGGCTTGGATATCCTGGACATCCAAATAGAATCCTATATACAGATTAGATATTCAAATATTTTGAAGAATTACTTCGATTTTTACAACCTTGGTTAACTCTTCCTTTCTATGAGATGGTATGATGTAATTTTTACTACTTTTATTATATTGTTTGTCTGCTGTGTGCTGTAGCTATTCATATACTAAAATTGTTACTCCTACCACATACACTGTGATAGTAAAAGCACAACTAACACTTACGTAATGTGTAATTTCCTTAGTATTTTCGATGTTACCATAATTTTTTGCAATACTAATTAGTATTTTATGATAAAGTACGCTTAAAGAAATGTGGAGAATCCTAGTCTAGAAAAAATAGTTGAGCCTGTAAAAGCTGATATGCCACATGCCACTCCAAGTGGAATGGAGATAGTATGCTGCATTTCCCAAACATGTTTGGCCAGGAATCACTTTTGGTTATACTCATAGAATTACTAGTATTCTGTGAAACACATTAGGTGAATATAAATATTGTGATTTGTAACGCATGCAATGCTTTACGAATAAATATCATTTCATTTTCACAAAACATTTGAAGTAAGTAGATCAATAATTGTTAGTATTCTCATTCTATAGATGACAAGGTTGATGTAAAAAATGTGGCACAAGATTCATTGGAAATTCAAAATAAAATGTCCTCAACTTCGACTAAATCCTGTGTTGTCTTCATTACACTAAACACATGCTTAAAGCTCTACTTCTCTTGTATTTCTTTCAGTACCTTGCACAGTACCTTGAACTTTGTAAATACTTCAAAAATAAAACTTGCTTCAAATTTCATCTAATTTAATAGTAAGTTAAAATTAAAGCAAAAACAGTAAGTATGACTATGTCCCTAATAGTTTGTCAACACATTGATATAACAAAATGGTTTGTTTAATCAGTTCAAGATCCAATGGCATTTCTAAAAGCTTTTCAAAACTGTAATTAAGTTTTGTTTTTTAACTAAACTGCAAGCCTAGAATTTAGTGAAAAATCAGGCAGAAATCATGAATTGGAAAATATGTCCTGACATAGCTTTAGGTAAGAAATGGAATGATTAATATAGACCGACCATAATGAATACAAATGGAGTTCTGCCTGTTCTATTAAGTGAACCACGGGAATCAGTCAATACCATTTATCTTGAGGACAAGTAAAGACTGAGTCAAAATACACTAAAAAGAGGGTATATTAATGTGGATTTCTAATTAACCGAATCCACCACACTCTGGTCACCAATGATAAAAAGTTGCAAATATGCTTTATATATGCACAACCATACAGATAACTAATGTCAACTCAATTTGCAAAGCTATAAATTTTAAAGAACTGTCTTTAAATTGTATTAATTTTGAAAGAAATTTTGCTGTGCCAGGAATATAAGACACTAACAACCATCTCAAGGCTCTAATGACTCTATATTATTTATTAGTCTTCCACATTAATGTTATTATTATAAATGTCCTATACCTACTTACCTAGAGTTAAATTAATATTTTAAAATAAATATTAATGAATTAAACTATGTATTAAATGCCTAATTATTTAGCACATACAAAAACCCTCATTCTCAATCAATTACATTTCAGATTTAAAGAAATGCTTTTACTTTGTGAATTGTCTCATAAATAAATTTAGTTCTTTCTTTTAGGTTTAATAGGGTTTCTAAACATGCCTGGTTTAACAGATTATCAGTATTTGTTACACATTGTGTGTAATAGCATTAATTTAGAAAATTTAATGTACAGACACATTTTTCTTCTTCACAAATAGTAAACCATCTATCCATGTCAGATGTAGAAAAAATTGTTTAAAGCAAAATATGGTAGCTTCTTCTGTGTCTATCAGGTTATTCTGTTAAATGCCAGAAGGACTCAGAAGTTCAGGATCAAACAGAAAGCTAATATAAATCTATTTGGAAAACTTGAGAATGAAAAAAAATATATGTATATATCTATAAATGTATTTCTTTGCCTATTTCCCAGGCTTGAGTTTTCCTAAGTATCAGAAGGAAATGTAAATTTTTTATAACCAAAATTAAGAAATATATGGTGTTAATTAAAAAGAATAGAAAATAAAATAATGCAGCTAAAGATTTATAGGTTGAATGGGACATGCCTGTAAAAGGAATCTGTATAGGTGGTATCTATGTAGGTCAACCTACAACAGAAAGCGTGAATGCTGATGGCAGAATGAAGTCTAATCAGGGTAAGGAGAGAAAATTCTAGATATCCCTGATGGCTCATCTCCTCCACCCTTTCAGTGACTTAGCAAGAAACTGGATCAGCTCACCTGAACTAGCGCAATAAATAGGACCAGAGGCTGAGCTCAGGAGCTTTCTCCTTTTAACTCGGCCACTTCCTAAACCAAGAAGCACCAATCATCACAGGGTTACTAGATGTTTATTTTCTTCCTTTCTCCACTCCTAAAAATGTGTAGATCATTATAGGGCTGGTATCTCCTTCCCGGAACCCTTTCTGTGCTGAATCCAGTCCAGCTCAATCTGCTTTAACACGTCTCTATGGATTATTGAGCAACTGGGCTCATTTGACTCGTCCTAGTTCTCAGTGTATACATTATCTTCAAACAAACTCTATCACATATATACACTTCGGGGTATTAGGGTGTGAATGTCCATATCATCCTTATAATCCAGGACAAACTTTGTATATCTGAATGCAGTGGCAAGATTTTCACTTTTCATATTTGAATGAAAGATTCAAAACCATGTAAACATGTAAATCCCTTCATTGTTTTGTTGCTTTGTTTCTTTTTTTGAAAGTCTGTCTCCAGATTAAGTTTAACTGATCAATATATAGTATCTTAATCCATGTGTTTTAGGAAACAGTCTTTCTGATACTTTAAATAGCTGTGTTCAGATGATCACGTTTGTTATATAACATTCTCTGCTCAATTATCTTCTATTTTGCTTTCTTCCTGCCTTCCTCACCTAAATAAGCCAGCAGCTTTGTTTCTCATACCAAATGCTAGGTGTCATCTTTTTATTCCTTCCTTATCTATTCCAATAGCAGAGTCTGGTTAGTTCTACCCCAAATGTCTTTTCAATACTTGCACTTGGTATCTCTCCATTATGAATACTGTATTCCAAGCTACTGTCACTTTCTGCCTAACTGCCACCCTATCTTGTCTCTCTGCTTCTGCTCTCCTACCAGTCAAACCAGATCTCTTCCACAGGGGAGTGGGAGTGATCATTTAATCAGATCATACCACTCTTCTGCTAGGAGCATATCCAAACTCAGAGCCCTCATAGAGTTGGGGCACTTTCTACCTCTTTCACTTCCTCCTGTATCACCTCTGACTTCCCTCACTATCCTGCAGCCCCATTTGCCTGCAATGCCCTTTCCCTCGATATCTTCATGCTTTGCCTCTTTGCTCATGCCTCAACCAAGCTGCCATATGATCAGACAAGCCACCCACACTACTGATTCACACACAGGCATATGCTCATATCTGCTACCCTCCAACCCTGCCTTTTATTGTAATCAATAGTATTTATGATAACCTGACATAATACGTATTTGTTTCTTGCTTCACTGAATGTAAATGGTATTATAAATGGCATGAAACAGGGATTTTGACTTCCTAGGTGGTTACTCTACCCTCAGTACTTAGCACGTTGCAGGTTCTGCAGAAATCCTGATTAATGGAAATGTTGACACAAATCCCATGATTATTTTATGGTGAAATCACAAATTTCCCTACCTATTTTTTTCATACAGAAGTCGCTTTGCTTTTTTCTCATTAGTTGTATTTATCTTCTAAATGAAATGAAAATATATTGCAGAAACAGGAGTAAGTTTCCTGTAATTTGGGTGTGGGAATCCCTCTGTAGAACTTAGTGCCTGAAAACCTTGCTTCACAGGGGAAGGAATAATGAATCTCATGTTTAAATTATGTAGCACAAGTAGATATAGTATCAACTTAAAAAATTTCACAAATTCTTTGAAAATCCAACTATTCAAAGAAAATCCATATTCAAGCACAGACTTTAATTTGGAGTTACCCTTCTATTGGATCTCTATATAGCTTTGAAACTGATTAAAGCTGGCTTTGATTTCCACATTTAGAAATTAATCACACATGGCTGGATCACGGCCATGGGGGCTGCTATTCTAGAGCAACCTCTCTCTGTGAGACTTGGAAAAATATGAGGAGAGCCACCCACCTATCACACCATCAAACACTTATATAGACACACAACTGAGAGAGGGGTTGCTTCATGTGTTCTTTTCTCTAAAAAAAATCCTCTGGACATTTCTCTCTTAGCTTCAACGACTCTGTTGGTTTTTAAGTAGATAGAGAGATGGTTTGACAAATTAAAAGGTAGCTAGCTTACTAAACATAGCATGGTGAACACTTAATTCCAATCATAAAATAACATTTTACTATGTTCAAATTGTGAAAAACAGACAATAGTAAATGAAGATATCACTACTGATGGTGAAAGAAACAGAAAGTAACATGATTGCTGTTGACTTCTCCAGCTGCATCTTCCCTCACTGGCATGTATCCACACCGTGTTTCAGGAATACCAAGATATTTATTATTTCCTAAATAGTCAAGGCTACCTCTCATCCCTTAGATCTAATTGGTCATGCCCCTCTGCCCAGCAGAATTTTAACACCTATCCTTTCTCATGCTAACTTCTATTTAGATTTCAGATTAGATCTCAAAGTTAAACTCCTTCAGATGTGGACTCAGCTCAAATACCATGGATACCAGAGATATCATTGACTTAATTATTCTTATGCTCATTAAAGCCTTCCTTGGGTTGTTGTGATAGATTATTGTGATGGGGATATCAGATATCCTCAAAATTATAAATACCTATGGTATTAATAGTAATATTTTTGCAGAAAATTTACTTTTGAATATCTATGTATTTCTAATTTGTAAAACCACTTTTCTGTTATAAACAATGAACATCTCTTTATGCAACAGAGTTTATTCATCAATCTTTGTGTCTTTTTCTGATTGTTTCTATTAATTAAACTCTTAGAAGCTGAAATTGCTAGATAAATGCTGTTAACATTTAACACATATTGGCAAGTTGCCATTCTGAAGAGTAACACCAATTCATACTCTTACCAATAGTCCTCAGGGTACCCTTTTCCTCACATACTGTGAACTCTAGGTATTATCAATCTTTTTAACTTTGTAAAACTGAGAGTCAAATAAACTTGTTGTTTTGTGGTTCTACTATACCAAGAAAAGATATAATAGACATGAAAATGTTGGCATCTTTATGAGTCTGGAATTAAAGGAACTTTCCCTTTCTGCTTTCTAATTTGATTTAAGGAATATATTGCACTTTAATAACAAATGCACTAAAATGATTTGCATTTGAAAATCTCTTTAATATTTTAACTCTGAAAAGACAGACTTGCACAATGGTTAAGATTGTGAGGTGAGGACTCAAGTGGGTCTGAGTTCAAATTGAAGCATATGCACTTAAAATGCAGTTTTATCATCTGGAATACAAGGGTGATAATCCTTGCTCTTCTAGGATTAAAATGATCTCATAAATGTTGAGTACTGAAAGAAGTATTGGCACATAATAGGCAGTTAATAAATAGCAGTGAGGAGACTCCTGGTAAACATAGCATTTCAAACTTATGCATTCTTCCAAACAAAACAGAATTCATCTATGTACATGGACATGTATTTCTTATGAGGTTTTCTTCAATAGATAATGAATGTAAGAAAGCAAAATTAATTTGCTTGTGATTATTTGTGTTGTTATCAAATATGGGTTTATGACATACTATAGAGTATTCTTTGGAGGCAGGTTAATTGCTTTCATCCAATAAGAGGAGATTTAGTACTATAAATAGAAAATGCTTAAAGCTTTTCAGAATTTGTCTTAAAAGCAATTAAATTTAAGTTTAAACTATGATATTTTGCTCATTATCGTAAAGTTGGAAGATAAATTAAAAGTTTCAGAAGTTAATTATTTTAATACAAATCTAAAATTCAGTCATTATTCTTCTAAAATGCAATAAATTAAAAGATTATAACGGCTTGAAGATTACCTTAAGAACAACTTTTTAGCTGATGGTACATAGCTCCTGTGGGTCAGAATATGTTTTTAAAGTTTCTCAATTTGATCACATTAGCATTTGCACTGGATAAAAATGAGTGGTGCCACAGAATTAAGCAACGATTTCAGAAACAAATTCAAAATAAACTCACACTTAAGTAACTAAACAAATTGGCCTTCCATCTATTAATTTAGCACCTATAGAGTTCTAAAGTTGAGAGATTTAGGAAGGTACTAAGAGTGACAAATGTGTGTCATCTGCATCTTAAAAAATAAGAAACATTAATTCACCAAACAGAGTGGTATTACCAAGTAGAGGAAGCCACTAACACATGCAAATAGAGTGGGTAAATTCACGGTGACTTCAGAGTACTTGTGGTTGTTGTGTGGGAAGCCTAACATGGAAGATCATGAATCCAAGTCAGAAAGATAATTAAGGATGAATTATGTTAAGGAGATTAGATCTCATTAATTTCCCTCATTTATGAAGGAACTTGGACATTCTTAGAAATTTTCTCTCTGCAATAACATCTACTGCAAACATGGATCACATCATGAATGCCACAGGAAATAACCTAGATCATAAACCATTCGACTGCCTCATTTTGCTTTTTTTCCTACCTAACTCACCCTACAGCCACTCACTTTCCTCAGTCCTTTTAAATTTCAGCTCTGGTTTCATGAAATGACTTTGTTATCTACTTAGAGAAAACTGGACTTATTGATAGAGAACCAATTAATCTTTTCTTCCCACAACCTACAACAAACTCACCTAAGTCTACAGTGGCTTAATTTTTTTTTCCTTTTACAGTACATCAATCATCTATTTTTGTCTGTAAGACTATCCTTTTGCCAAAGTTTTCAATACTCAATACAAAAATCACAGTTTTTGATTTTTTTTTGTTTATTTTTTTATTTTTTATTTTTTATTTTTTGAGACGGAGTTTCACTTTGTCGCCCAAGCTGGAGTGCAGTGGGGCGATCTTAACTCACTGCAACCTCTGCCTCCCGGGTTTCAAGCGATTTTCCTGCCTTAGCCTCCGAGTAGCTGGGATTATAGGCATGCACCACAATGCCTGGCTAACTTTAGAGACGGGGTTTTGCCATGTTGGCCAGGCTGGTCTCGAACTCCTGACCTCAAGTGATCTGTCTGTCTCAGCCTCCCAAAGTGCTGGGATTATGGGCATGAGCCACCGTGCCCAGCCAGTTTTTGAATTTGAATGCCCATAGAGAATACACTGCAGTTACCCACAGAATCTATAATTGTTTATGACTTTATATCTAGTTGTCCTGCTTGTATTGAGTCACATTATTTGTTAGACATCAAAAGGCACATAATTTGGGGTACCTTGAATTACATTATCTCTTTGATGTATTTGACATTGACTACTTAACTAAATCCTTCCCCTGTGTATGCAAACCCCTTCACATTACTTACAAAAATAGACACACAGACCCTCTGTTGGACAGCAGATCATCCTCTCTTCTCCCTCACAAGCAAAATTATCAAGAAGCGTTGTATACCGTCTGAATCTCTGTTCATTTCTTTCTCTCCCACTAACATTTGCAACTGGCTCTAATTTCCCTTCAAATTCCTACTACTTGTGAAAGTTGTTGATAGGGTCACGTATAAAGTTCCATGTGAACAAATCTAATAAACATTAGTAAGCTTTTTTTTTGCATTCATATTCCTAGAGATACTTGATGACCCCCTTCACCTAGAAAGTCTTCCCTCTCCTTTATCACATAGAAGTCCCCTATTCTCCTCAGCATTCTTCCCCATCCTCCTTTACAGTCTCCTTAGACATCTCATCTTCTATGGAAACATAAAATACTGAAATTCTGAAAGACTCATCTTTGCCTTTTTTTCTTAGAGATCTATATTCTCTCCCT
This sequence comes from Homo sapiens, assembly GCF_000001405.40. Classification (NCBI taxonomy): domain Eukaryota; kingdom Metazoa; phylum Chordata; class Mammalia; order Primates; family Hominidae; genus Homo; species Homo sapiens. The sequence goes on from NC_000005.10 coordinate 22,181,489, forward strand.
ACATAAGCACATTTATGTCTAGAGTTGTATTGCTATTTTGTGCCAGTGTTCCCAATATTTATATTTCAATCTCGGGCTTATTTATATTTTTTTATTTCGAGATTCTTTTTAGTTTTATTCACATGCACTTAACAATTTCCAAATACTCTTTGGTGTTATGTTTTATGGCACATTTAATATAATGTACACAAAAGCAGACACTATCATCTTGCCCTGTTTCTTCCATCAATATCTGTCTTTTTTCTTGGCTCCTAATTTCAGGGAATGGTAATTTCCCTTTCTGCAAATTAGACATCTGGGAGTCATCCTTGATCTCTCTCTCTCTCTTTGATTCCTCTCTGCCCCATGCCATCCATATATGAGTACTTAAAATTTTTAATCACATATTAAGAAACTACTCCCAAATCATCCCGGAAGTCTTGCCACATCTCTCCATACTCACTACAATCTTTATATCCCAGGCTATCTTGATCTCTTTCTGGCAATATCTTCTACTCTGCTGCACTCCATGCACTCTGACTTTTTCAGTCTGTTTTCTAAGTATATCACTCCCCCACTCCATCTTTAAGCCCTATAATTAGTTTTCTTTGAATTTAGAATAAAGACTAGGTTTATAGTTTTTACGACCTGAACAATTAGTCACATTCTCTTATTTCTTCTCTCTGTTCAAATATACTGATCTTTCATTTCTTAAATTTTCCGAGCCTCTTCCTACTTAAGGAATTGTATTCACTTTGTTTCCCTTGTTTAGATTCCTTTTTTTCTAACCTAGCTTTTATCATTTTTCAGTTTGCAACTTAAAGTCTCCCTCTCTGACTTCCCAGGTTTCTCAATTCACCTCAATATATGCATTCCACATGTTGGTGTTGTAATTGTACCTTTGTTTGCTAAGTGATTTGATTACAGTCCATTTTACCTACCATAAGAGGATTGCATCAGTGTTACCATTGTTTGTTCAGCACCTAGTTTGGTAGATGTTTGTTTCTCCATAAATGCTCACCTAAAAGAATATTTTGCCTGTTAGAATGAGCTGTATTGAGGTAACTATGCAGGGTGGGAGCACAGTTAATTTTTGTTTTTAGAAATTTTACACAATAGGAAAATAAAAGGAAGAGATGGAGTGCAGGTGTTCTAAAAATAGGGAAATATTTTAGGAGGCTATATTAATAGCCCAAGATCCTGCCTGGACTGAAGATACTGAAGAAGGCACAGCAGTTGGGTTATAGATGAGAAAGTGCAACTGAGAGATACTTAGATTAATGTAGTGATTGTTTCTGACTGGCTGGGCTGGACCCAAGGTAAGAGAGGCCTCATGAGCAAATGATCAACACTATAAGTTCTAATGAGTTGTAGAACTTTCTCTACAACTGATTAGAGCTTATAGTGCCAATAAGAAGATAGCGATGAAGCATTTTATGGTGAATTCTCAGTTACATTTTCCAAAGGCTGAACTTTAGTTGTTTAGCATGGAGAAGTTTAGAAGAATAATAGAGATAAGTACTACATGGTGCTCAAAGAGAGAAGTGGACTGATGAAACAAATTTGACAGTCATTGGTACAAGTTGCAGATAAAGTTATGAATGTGGCTGGGAACACATAGAGACTGGCTTTGGCTCAACCACAGGAATAATCTTAGAAGGAGAATGAAAGAATTTGAGCCAAAGAAAATTAAAAAGAAATGGCTACATGGGTAGAAATAAAACAGCAAGAAATTTGGGAATAAAAACCAAGCGAAGTGAGAGACATTCAAGGAGAGACTGGTGAATCAAGATGAGGACTAAATAAAATATTGCTTATAATATTTGGTGATCAGAATTTCTTTTTAGGATTATCAAGTCTGTTGTTATTGGAGCTAGACAGGCAGCTATAAAGCCTGTTGTAAAGTGCATGGGACAGAAAAGAATCAGAAGTTATAGCACAGACTACTTTTAAAATATTTTTTTGAGTTGTAAAGTGCATGGGACAGAAAAGAATCAGAAGTTATAGCACAGACTACTTTTAAAATATTTTTTTCTTATAAAGAAGAAAGAACTATATGGTGGTAACCAGATAAGAAAGCACGTGGAAACGGGTGATTTCTTCTCGTGAAATTTAATGAAACCAAAAATTTTACCCTTAAAATACAGCATTTACTCTATTTCATGCAAGTCACTAAGAATTCTCCCTGACCTTGCCATAAGAAGGAAGGGGCAACTGTAGGTACTACTGCTAAGGATCAGCAGGGACAATCTCACTCATACCCACAGGACACAAGAAATCTTACGAGCTAAACAGAATTGACTGAAAGTCAAGTGCAATGTTAAAAAATCCCAGAAAGTCATAAGGCATTCTGCAAAGTCATTAAACTGAAAGGATAAAGAAAGCAGTGATACAGTCAGAAATATCCCCCCAAAGCAAGAGACTTGACAGTTAGAAAGGGTCCTTTCTACACAAAAATAACTAGAGTAGAGTCATTAATGGCCTATTTTTATTTTCTGTCCTAATATATGAAGAACGGCTAGTTTGCAAAGGAAGAATAAATACCCTAGTGATAAAAAAAAAAAAATTACAAAGTATGGAATTAGAGAAACCTGGGTCTGACCTTCCAGTTGTGTGGTTAAGGGTATGAATTTAGATAAGGCATGAAATGTTTCTTAACTCGGTTTTTTTTGTTACTTTATTAAATGGGCAATAATGGCTACTCTTAAGACTGTAGAGAGGACTAAGACAATAAATCCAAAGTTTTTGGCATGTAACACATGCCTAAGAGATAATAAAGTTATTCTTGATAGAGTCCTAGATTGGAAGTAGTGAGATGGGTTCATAAAATTGACCCTTGGTTTTTGAAACTAAAAATAGTTTTCCATTTCCAAAAAATATATATTGTGTAAATATCACTAGTAAAATGTATAACAACATTTTTTCCCCTGAGGCAAAGTTAAGGCAAAAGATAATTTCAGAGCCTTAAATATCTCTTGCCTAGAGCTCCTTCTTCATCCATTCCTCAACAACTATAGCGAGATCTGTCCTCTGTGTCTAAAATGTTCATAACTAGTAATTGTGAAACTAGTGGCCCAAAGCAAATGAAGAATAACTGCCTTGATATATGTATATGCACGACAATGAACACAGCAAATGCTGAGAAAGAAAGAATGGATTGGAACAGAGAAAAATAAATCCTCCTGAGAACTACATCTTCTTATTTAGAACTCCTGTCCTTACTTCACATGTGCAGAACCAGCTCAAAGTCTGGATGTAAGCCAGCCATGACCCTTACTCTGCTGTGAATATCATTCCCCCCAACAGTAGTCTCAGACTCTTCATTTCTCCATGTGGAAAATGTTGCCAAGTCACACAATGCCTAGTATACAGCACTAAAGTCATTTTTTTAAAAAACTTTTAAGTTCAAGGGTGAAAGTGCAGGTTTGTTATGTAGGTAAACTTCTGTCATGGGGGTTTGTTGTACAGATGACTTCATTGCCCAGATATTAAACCTAGTACACATTAGTTAATTTTCCTGATCCCCTCCCCTCTCCCACCCTACCCTCTCTGAAAGGCCCCAGTGTGTGTTGTTCCTCTCTATCCGTCCATGTGTTCTCATCATTTAGCTCCCACAGTTTATCTAAAGATGTGTGCTTATAAATCTTCCTTCTCCCTTCTACTTCTGGCAAATAAAACATTCTTTTTGTTCATCTGCAGAAAGAAACAGAGTCCTCCTTCTCTCTCTCTCTCTTTTTTTTTTTTTTTTGAGAAGGAGTTTCACTTTTGTTGCTCAGGCTGGCGTGCAGTGGTGCAATCTTGGCTCACTGCAATCTCTGCCTCCCAGGTTCAAGTGATTCTCCTGCCTCAGCCTCCCAAGTAGCTGGGATTACAGGTGTGCACCTCCATGCCTGGCTAATTTTTTTTATTTACAGTAGAGACAGGTTTCACCATGTTGGGCAGGCTGGTCTTTGATTCACATATCAAGGCATGTTACAAAACTATTTATGCAGAAATGGCACACGTGAGCTACTGGCATGTAACCTGAATCCTAAATTGGTTGGGAGAAATAGAAATTGTGTACCATAGAATCAAAGACTTTTACCTTGCCATTCACAGTGTGTCCCTTTTCATGTAGATGACATTATTTACTATTCATTGTCTCAAACACATTTCCGTGTATAAGTGAGAAAGTCCTAGTGCTTATTTGTCATAAGGTAAGGGAAGATGCTTCATGGGACAAAAGAAATCTGACAAAGCAGCAAGATTTTTAAATTTTCTATTGTGGTAGGAGTTTTACTGATTATCACTAAAATAGGGAATGAAGTGGGTTTTGGGAAATCAGTTCCATTTACATTTATTCCACAAAAAAAGATTTATATCTATATGCCACTCTTTCTTTGTGTATGCTAAGGCGTATGAAAGGAAGAAAATCCTCTGTGATTTGCATTAAGAACAGTAAAAAACAATATTGAAGGACTTCATCATAACCAGTAGGAGAACCTGGTCAAATTAAGCACATTTGTGATTCCCAGAACATTCTGAAGAGAAATACTTGAGTCATTCATTTGGTTCTAAGTACACCTGACAGAATTGCATCTGGGCATCTTCTCAGGGGAATCTCCTCTCCTTAAGTGCCCTTGAGTAAGATCTCTCTGCAGTTAAGTGCCTGACATTATTAAGAATCTTAATTTTGTACTGCCTTCTTGTATGTGCGGCATAAGATTTAGGCAAAAGTAACACTGCCTCTTTCAAAGTCAATTTGAAACACACATATATGAAGAATTTTTTAAAAAGTCAATAACTATTGTCATTCAGTAAAATCCTCAAAAGAAATGTAATAATACCAAGTCCTTCACCCACTTCATTTTGATTTGAATTTATCAGAAAAAGCTCTGAAATTAATATCTAACCATATAGTCAAGCTGTGCCAAATGATTGTAGATTAACCAGTGAAAATCTATTCACATTTTGTTCAGTAGTGTGAGAGATACAGCAGCCAAAATCTACAGGATTTGTGTTTGGTTTTTTGTTTGTTTTTTGAGACAGAGTCTCCGTCTTTTGCCCAGGCTGGAGTGCAGTGATATGATCTCAGCTCACTGCAACCTCTGCCTTCCGGGTTCAAGTGATGCTCCTGCCTCAGACTCCTGAGAATTTGGGATTACAGGCGTGCATCACCATGCCCAGCTAATTTTTGTATTTTTACTGGAGGCGGCTTTTCACCACGTTGGCCAGTCTGGTCTTGAACTCCTGACCTCAAGTGATGCCCCCGCCTTGGCCTCCCAAAGTGCTGGGATTACAAGTGTGAGTCACTGAGCCTGGCCAGCATTTTTATATACCTGCAAAAGACACTTTGAAATAACAAATAAGTTGTAATGACACAGTTGATAGAAAATGGAAAATGTATACTTCCAATGTGGAGTAAAATAGCAAAACATGCTCGTAAAAGCACTAAATAAATAAGAAATATTAATGAAAAATATCTAACTGTAAATTTCTTGAAGAAAATACTTAAAGTACAGTTTTAGGGATTGAACCTAAACTTCAAGTTTAAATGTTCCATAATATTTAAATTTATTTACAATATAAATTTATAAAACAAAATAGATATTCAGCGTGGAAATTCAGAAAGGAAACACATATACAAAGTTACTGGTGTTACTAATAAGTGCACGTGGTTTGCAACTGATTGCTCTTATGCAAACACTCACACGAGCACATATGAGGTCCCCTAGGAGTAATAGACCAGTCTCTGGCATCTGGGCAGATGGTGCTTATATTGCTGGCAGGTGATGAAGCTGAGGGAAGACACTTATCATCTTAAATCCCAGAGACCAACACTTTCAACTTAAAAATGAAAATGTCCCAATTATAAATCCCCAAGGTGGAAAAGGCTGCAACAGGAAAGCATTCTAAACCATGCCTTTGTGTTGTATTGCAGTCAAGAGGAAATAAGGAGTTCCCAGCAACTGAAAGTTTTTCTTTCATGCCTCTCATATTTCTTGGCATCACCATAACTGTGGCCATTTAATCAAGATTCCCTTTAAACTGGTGAATGCTAGCAGAATGTCTCAAGAGAGCTGATTTCCTTCACTTTCAAGTTCATTGTGACCACGAATGCATTAACCTGGGCTGCCTACATTTCTTCCTGTGCTGTCACATAAGATATACTCCACATAAAAATAAAGAACATCGACCTTGAAAGAGGAAAAAAAAAAGAAAGAAAGAAAGAAAAAACTACATTTAGCAACCCAGACTAGAATCTAAGCTCTGTCAAAGTGATTTCTTATTCCATTTTACTGAAGCAGTGCCAAGCTTTATCACTTATGAGTTCATGTCTTACAGCTGAGGCAACCCACTTGAATTGGTAAGTTGCTTAAAGTATACACGCGCTGTTCATGTTGTCACTGTGATTTAAAATGAGAGAGGAGTTCTGCAGGTGGAATACAACTGAAATAGAGAGAGGAAATGGAAACTAGAAACATTAAACCATGCGTAATTAATGGTTCTTTGTCTTGCTGGTCCTCTGGAACTCTTTTTATGAGTGTTATGCAGATGCCCTATAGCAGGAAGGGCAGTGCTGTCATTTGAATAGGGTTGGTTGTTCTCCACCAAAGTGCATTTTGAAATTTGATTCCCAGCATGTAGGTGTTGGGAGGTGGGGTCTAGTTGGGAGGTGTTTGGGTTGTGGGGGTGGATCCCTGATGGATGGCTTGGTGCTGTGATCCTAGTAGTGAGTTCCCACTCTCACAAGACTGGATTACTTCCCTTGGGAATGGATTTGTTCCTGTGAGAGTGGATTGTAATAGAGCCAGTGTGCCCCTCAGGTTTCCCTCTCTTCACATGAGTTCATTTCCCCTTTGGCCTTCACCATGTTGTGACACAGCACGAAAGCCCTTGCAAGAAACCAGGGGTATGGCCTTGAACTTCTCAGCCTGCAGAACCATGAGCTAAATTAATCTCTATTCTTTACTAATTACCCAGTCAAAGGTATTCCTTTAGAGCAACACAAAACAGACAGAGAGAGAGAGGCAGGATGCTTAGTGCTGAGGGTCCGACTTTGTATCATCCTACATTTTTCGTTCACATTGGCATCACAAATAGAAATGGAGAAAATAAGTATGATTGCTGCAGCTAAATCTGACAAACTGTCACCTACCTACACCATTTCTACACCATGTAATCTCACATAACGTCCACAAATGTCCTGTGCCTATTAGCATTTTAAAGGGCTTTGTGGCCATTATACTCTCGCTTTGGAGCTAGGGATGTTTCATTATCCTCAATTAAAACTCTCTCAGAAGCAAGATTGGCAAGCATTTATTTATATATTTTCCTTAGAGGCAACATGGGAGGCATGGATTCTGTAAAGGAGGCAGGGTGCTGTTCTGTGCTGCATCAAGAGGCGATGCTGGTTTGGAATAACTCTCCTAATGTGAAGCTATCCCCATTAAAACATAAACCATAATTGTGGAAAGCAATTTGCTCAGTAGCAGAGAACTAACAGGGTTTCTTATTGTGATTCAATAACAAGGGAGCATGGAGATGCAATGCTGAAAATGCTCCCCAAACTCTTTTAATTTTCTTGAAGTGTAATTTTCTTCTGTGAAACCAATGTGAAAAGCTGAAATCATTTCTATTATACTCAGAAGCAAGATGTATAGACATTTCCTGTAAATTAACATTTTCCAACTTCAGTAAACTTAAACACTCTTCCATTTGTCTGTTTCAAAATGTGGATTAATAAAAACTTGAAACCATGACACTGCCGATAAACAGTGAAAGCAAATCCACAGCTAGGTCACAAGTTGATGTACTTAAATTTCTAATCAGTTTTGTCATGCTTTATACAGCTGCTTCTCTTTCACTAACAATTGATTACAGTTCAATAATGATTATATACCAACATGAGAGGTTGATAAATATTAATAATATTTTAAAAATCAATAACATTATTAAGAGAATCCTTCCTATAGAATATGGTCAAAATCAATAATAGCATATAAATATATCAGATGCTGAGATATTGCATACTGTATGCTACTAAAGTCAAAATCAATAGTAACAATCAGGAGATCTATTATTTTATTACTTATACTTAACATAAGTAGATATTCGATCTGTACAATTCTATTTCTTTTATTAGGCATAACATGGATCAAGGAAACGAAAGGAGCCATAAATGGTTCTAATAAATTTATAAAAACATTTATTTGTTAAAAATTTGCAGCTAGCCCATTTCTTTTTATAGCATTATCCACTAGTGAAGGACAAGAAATAGAAATATCTTTTTAAAAAAAATTCCTATTTTTAATCATAGTGCTCAATAGTGGCACATGCAATGGCTTGAGATCTGTGGTGCATCCAGGGGATAACAGATGCCTCAGAAGCATTACCACATCTTCCCCCCGCCTATCCCCAGCCCCGTGGGCTGCATTTTGTTGTGACTCCTGTGTGCTTTTCTAAGACGTGTTTGCTTCACAGCTGGTGAATGGACACTTTCCATCACTTCACCTCTTGGCAACAGATGCCTCTCAGTTAGGCACAGATGCTGAGTGTCCACCCATCCCTAACATTAGCCTTGCGTTCTGGACTAATTGGGCCAACAGAGTTGCAATTAAGATTTGAATAATTAGATAACGGACATGATTACTTTTGTAATTAATCCTCATACTGAGTCATCATGATCATGTCTGGGGTGATGACCACTGGCTTATACCTAATTCAAATAGAGGTAGTGAGTATTAAAAGCAAAGCATTAGCAAAAATACTCCCTCACTTCTCCTCTAGAAAAAATAAATATGACACTACATATAGACACACAATTTTCATTTTTCAAGTACATTTTACAGTGATCTGTTGGATGATGAGAACTCATTTCAATTTAATTCATGCCTCCATCTGTCTGTCTGTCTATCTATCTATCTATCTATCTATCTATCTATCTATCTATCTATCCTCTATCCATCTTTTTTTCCCAAAGACTTCCACTTTGGCTTCTGCACTGTTTTGGAACTGTGACCTATATTTTAAAATGAGTGTTTTCTTTCCTTTTTCAAAAATTTACCATATCATAAAAACAAATACATAGAAACAAACTGAAGTTGACCCCTCTCCCTTCTCTTGTCTACAAAAAAGCCACAGATGTTAGAATTTCTTATGGTTTGGCTGTGAGTTCCTCCTCTTATCTCTACTCTTTCCAAATACTGTCCATATCTGTGACTCCTAGAATGTCATCTGGTAGGAGTGTGGTGCGAAAAGACATCTAAAGCCAACAGTGCCTAGCAGACCTGCCAGAGCTCTTGTCTCTGCAGAACCCTCTCAGAAGCCTGTTGACTTCAATTAATCTTCTCAATGAAAGGATCAATCAGCTCCGTAAATCAGGGTCTCAGACTCATCCCTGACTACACACTCCCACAACTGGCGCATGCCAATCTGTTGCCAAATGAAGTTCACTTTTCTCTTTAAATGTTACTCAACTCCCACCACTATGTATTTCGCTCCCTTGCCTCAATGTGGGAGTATCGTGATATCTTTCTGAAGTAATGTAATAGTTTTCCTTTCCTATTCCTGTCCCATTCCAAACTTCCTTCTAAATTGGCACAGTCTTCTCTGTATGACTGTGTTCCTTCATCTCTGCATTTTAGCTGCTGTAGCTTCTCTCAATCCTAGGAATAAACCAACATCCCAAGTGTTACTACATGGACGCTTCCCTTTGCCTAGAACAGTCTTTCTTCCCTCTTCATCTAGTAAACTGCACATCCTCAGATCTCTGGCCATCAATTTTCCCAAGAGGTGTTTCTTGTCCCTCTAGACCAAGCCAAGCCCTTCCTTTACACTCTCTTAAAGCCTCCTTCTCATTTCACTCTTAGCGCTTTCCTCACTTTGTAGTTATATGAGCTTTTTTGTTAATCATTTCAGCTCATAGATACACTGGATCGACCCAGTTTCTGACACACAAGAGACTCTACACTCTTAAATTAATGAATGATAAATGGTGTCATATTGAAAATGGGTTAAACTGTGTGATTCAGCAACTAAGGATAAAAAGGTTTCAGAAGTAATTACTCAATATTTATTTATAAGTTGTCTATATACACCAATGGTCTTTTTATTTTTATTTTTTTTTTTTTTTTGAGACGGAGTCTCGCTCTGTCGCCCAGGCTGGAGTGCAGTGGCGGGATCTCGGCTCACTGCAAGCTCCGCCTCCCGGGTTCACGCCATTCTCCTGCCTCAGCCTCCCAAGTAGCTGGGACTACAGGCGCCCGCCACTACGCCCGGCTAATTTTTTGTATTTTTAGTAGAGACGGGGTTTCACCGTTTTAGCCGGGATGGTCTCGATCTCCTGACCTCGTGATCCGCCCGCCTCGGCCTCCCAAAGTGCTGGGATTACAGGCGTGAGCCACCGCGCCCGGCCCACCAATGGTCTTTAAAGAACAGATTCTTTCATATATGTGTTCATGTATGCCAAAATTAATACTCATGTTTTTTGTTTGTCTGTTTGTTTGAGACAGAGGCTTGGTCTGTCTCCCAGGCTGGAGTGCAGTGGCCTGATCTTGGCTCACAGCAACCTCTGCCTCCAGGATTCAAGTGATTCTCCTGACTCAGACTCCCCAGTAGCTAGGATTATAGGAGGGCCACCATGCCCAGCTAATTTTTGTTTTTTTGGTAGAGACAAGGCTTCACCATGTTGGCCAGGATGGTCTCAAACTCCTGGCCTCAAGTGATCTGCCTGCCTCGGCTTCCCAAAGTGCTAGGATTACAGGCATGAGTCACCATGCCTGGCAGTCAAATATTAATATGTGACTGACACAATACAGGTCTTTGAAGATATACACATAATTAATATGTAGTCTGGGCCTGCAAGGAACTTATAATCTCTCAGGTAATACAAATCTGTAAAGACGAAATTAGGAGCCATGACAAACTAATAAAATAATGAGTTAACGAGGCTGGTGGCTGGAAATGAGAGAGCGTTTTCTGGTGAATGTAATGTCAGGTTTGGGTTTCAAAGAGAGTAGGAATTAGCCAGACAAGTTACACAGATGTAGAAGAATAAGAAGGAGAAGAGCAGACACATTTAAGGCCCTATGGACAGCATGGATAAAAGTCACAGAGGTCCACAAGCACCATTAGGGGTGTGTGTGTGTACATTTGTGCACACAGGCTTATGCATGTGCCTACAAATTATTCACAGTGACTGAAAAGAAAAGAATGGTGAGAGGTAAGGAGGGGTGGGATAAGCTGGGGGGATGTCAGAGTAGACCTCTTATCCCAGAATAGACTGGGGCTCACTTTGTAGATAACAGAGAGCCATGGAGATTTCATGTAGGTAAGTGATAAGGTTATATTTGTATTTGAAACAGAACACAGCTGGGGAGGCTACACTTGAAAGGGAAGAGACTGGAGGCCAGAATATTGAAGAGGAGGCTGAGTCCAGGCAAGAATTTGCTATACTTGCCTGCATAGGCAAGAGTGAAGGCCTGTACTTAAAAGAGGTGCAGTAGGTATGCAGACATGGCTATATAGTTAAGGAAGTCGGAAAAAAACTGAGATTTGTGATACTGGAATGGAGTGTGGAAAAAAAAATCATAGTTTAGTAAGACACTCAGGTTACAAACATACATGCTGGAGAAAACTGCAATTTTAACAAATGTATTTTAGCTTCTCTGACTCATGAATCTGAGCCCTACATATGTCTTTTTGTTTGTTTTTGTTTGTTTGTTTGTTTTTGAATACTAAATGTTTTGAACACCAATTTGGAGGGCTATAAAGTTTAATGTGAACTAAAGATATCATAACTTCTCAAATTCAGGCTTAATGTTTCTAGGAGTAAACATGTTCAGAATTCTAACCAAGAGCATAAGGAAATGTAATGACATAACTTTGTTAAAACTAGATTTCGATGTCGTGTTTTTTGAAGCTATGAATGTTAGATGATGGGGAAACTCCCAGGTCTTTTCTGCTTTACATAACATGTAAGTATTTTTGTCTCTTTTTGCTGGTTACTTTCCTAGGCATTGAGGAGTACAGGTGAATTCATATATTACCTCTGGGGTAGGTTTTCACTTTGTGCTGAATGTCAACCTGTTCCTTGAATGGGCATAATTCAGAAAAAAAGCTAATTTGTGTGTTATTATCAGAAATTATAGTTCATTTTTTATTCTGGCTGTTGTCTTCTTTGAAACTTTTTTCTTTGTAGGTATACAAATTTGGATAAGCAGCCGGATGTATCAGGCAAATTCTTGGGGAGATCCATGTTTGCACAATTGTTGATGTAGTTGTTTTATAGAAGAAAAACCCACGAGGGTTGCTGAGTCATCAGACTCCACTGTACTCTTTCACTGCAGTAGAGAATATAGTAAGAACTTGGTTTGGCTCAGTACAACATACTAGCTCAGTGATAGCCTACGCAAGGTATTATTTAAGACTTACTAATACAATTGAATTTATGTAGGATTATCTTCCTTTAATTTTCCTATTAAGAATAACTTAGGGACTGCAAGGGAGAAAGGAATGTTTTATTGAAATAAGTGGACATTATCATAGCCAATACTTACAAATGTTAGAATTTGGAAATGAAAATGAGGCTTCTATGTTCAAAACCCAGGATGGAGTCTAGGGCTTTGTCTCTGACACCTCATTGGAGATGAGTCCTGTCCTCTGTGCTAGAAGATCTATTTCAGTGCAGTCCTGGTAGGAAAAGAAAGCTGGCCCCTAGCCAATGGTAAATAGGGGTTAACAGAGATGGAACATTCAGGTACCAGGCTTGTGAGCTAGAGAGGTGACACACTGCTTACTTAATGGTGTCTTATGTAACCTACCTCCCCCACTATTCTTTCTTTACTTTTCTTTTTCTTTCTTTTTTTTTTTTTTGTTTTGTTTTTTTTGTTTTTTGTTTTTGAGACCGAGTCTCACTCTGTCTCCCAGGCTAGAGTTCAGTGGCACAATTTCAGGTCACTGCAAGCTCTGCCTCCTGGGTTCAAGCGATTCTCCTGCCTCAGCCTCCTGAGTAGCTGGGATTACAAGCGTCCGCCCCCATGCCCGCCTAATTTTTGTATTTTTAGTAGAGACAGGGTTTCACCATGTTGGCAAGGCTGGTCTCGAACTCTTGATCTCAAGAGATCCGCCCAGCTCAGCCTCCTAAAATGCTGGGATTACAGGTGTGAGGCACCGTGACTGGCCTCCCCACTATTATTTCTTTACTTTATGAAAAAAACTTGCCACTTGGTCTGTCAGTGCAGTGTGGTCTTAATGAAAAGGACAGGTTCAAGTTGTAAGTAAAAAAGTAATAAAAGGCAATATGTTATTCTTTCCCTGTAGCTACAATTTTGTGAGCAATGGGGACCACGGGCATAGGACAGTTTCACCCAGAGGAGCTGTGATCTCCCAAGAGACATCAGCAGTTGTGGTCTTGCCTGGCAGATGGCAGGAGGTCAGAGAGGGAAACACAAGACTTTTTTTCTAAGAGTATAAGCGAGCACCTTGGGAGTTTCACAAATAGCCAGGAGAGAAATCAAATGACTCAGGGGCAGCAATCAAGGCAGTGATCCTGAGCTATCATAAAGGTGTCAGTTGATGAAAATAGGACCTGATGATATTATCCCAAGCCTAGAAATATGGGTTGCCATAGGTTCTTGATAAAAGTTAGTTTTCTGTCCTCTAGGTAGACAGAGGCTTTTTAAACTTGAAATTATTAGGGAGATTTGAGACCAAGGTCGTAGCTAGAATCAGTGACAGGGCAATGTCAGTGAAATATTGGGACTTGGGCTATCCAGTTGCTGAAATAATAATAACCTCCTCAGCAGTAGTGTGCTTGCTGTAAGCCAGGTGCTTCACTAAGCACATTTATTATAGTATCTCATTATATAACTACCTGTTAATATTGTCTGTGTTATGCTATGAAAGGAAATCAGAGCATTAAAGAGTGACAAAAATTGTCTAAAGCTACATAGGTAGTAAGTGGTAGACTCAGATTGAAATGTCAATGTGTTGAATTGTAAATGCCATTCTTATAACCATTATGCCTTTCCAATTCTACTTTACAAACTTGGATGTGCTGGTAACACTGTTAAGGTTGGAAAAGCCAAAGGAAAAACAATTATTATTTTTCCTTTGAAAAATTGTTATTTGTCATTCATTAAGATGGGTGCTTTCTCCTACTTTACCTCATTTAATTCTCAATACAATGAATAAGAAAATATAAAATGTGTATTTATACCTTTTAAACACACAGAAGCAAAGGATTCTCCAACTCTCACTCTATTGCCACCAAATTTATTTCTTATGGGGATTTCTCTTTCTCTACAATCCTCTGCAAAAGAGAGCATGTTTTGCCATTTTCTCTCCTTTATTTCTTGTTCCTAAATTTAGCTCAATATGAGGGAATAAAAGCCTGGTGTGAAAAACTCTTTTTTCCTAGGTGGCATCTCTCCTCCCTCTCTTTCTTTCTCTCTTTCATTTTCTCAGTTTCAACCTATTAGTAGCAATAATTTTTTAAAAGAGTCATATATACATATTAATCACAGAATTTAACCTAGATGTTTACATAGATTTAAATAAGAACGTTCTACACGTCTTCATTTCTCTATCCTATATTACAGAAGTTTTGGTAGAAATAGTGTGTGTATATTACAGTGTGTATGTATGTGGGTGTGTGTGCATATGTGTGTATATCTCTGTCTATTCTATCTGCATGTAATTTTTTTTTTTTTTTTTTGACAGAGTCTTGCTCTGTCGCCAGGCTTGAGTGCAGTGGCATGATCTCGGCTCACTGCAACTTCCGAATCCCGGGTTTAGGCGATTCTCTTGCCTCAGTCTCCTGCGTGGCTGGGAATACAGGCACGCACTACCCCATCCAGCTAATGTTTGTATATTTAGTGGAGATGGGGTTTCACCATGTTGGCCAGGATGGTCTCGATCTCTCGACCTCATGATCTGCCCACCTCGGCCTCCCAAAGTGCTGGGATTACAGGCATGAGCCACTGTGCCTGGCCTGTATGTAATCTTTTATTCATTTTACAGAGATCATTAGAATTTTCTCTCCTGCTTTCTCATGCACTCCATTCCAGGTGACATCCTATAAACAAGCCACATATACAGTGAGAAACTGCCTACGCTGAGTTGACCTCAAGTAGGTAGAAGGCTTTACACAGCTTCAAAAGTCCCTCATTTGCTCTCATCAAAAAAGGATATCTGCAAGGGGACTAGAGACATTTATTCTAACATGTGCATCAGGACTCAAACAACTTCTGAGGTGTCCTCAGGCACCCGGAGGGCTCTATTGTCCTACTTCTCCTTGTTGCCTGTGTTCTCCTTTCAATCTCAGCCTAAAGTTCTTGTGGCTTTGGGACATCACTGTAGCTCCTTGTTGGGTATTCTCTCCCTTTAATTATTTCATGCGATAGATCTTGCTTCTTTTCCCCAAGGAAAGGGATTCAGAGTGGGTCAGTCGAATTTCTTAATCCTCAATCAGACAAAAAAGTAGATCATGAAAAATAATTGATGGGTGTTAGGCTTAATATCTGGGTGATGAAACAATCTGTACAGCAAACTCTCATGATACAAGTTTACCTACATAAACCTGCACTTCTACCCCTGAACTTAAAATAAGAGTTAAAAAATAGTTTATGATAAGATTTTCATTAATAAGAAACTGTTTGTTGCATTTCTAACACAGGGGCCTTCAATACCTCAACTTAAAGAATGGAAAGAATAGCCGGGTGCAGCGGCTCATGCCTGTAATCCCAGCACTTTGGGAGGCCAAAGGGGGAGGATCATGAGGTCAGGAGATCGAGTCCATCCTGGCTAACACAGTGAAACCCTGTCTCTACTAAAAATACAAAAAAAAAATTAGCTGGGCGTGGTGGCAGGTGCCTGTAGTCCCAGCTACTTGGGAGGCTGAGGCAGGAGAATGGTGTGAACCCGGGAGGCGAGCTTGCAGTGAGCCAAGAGTCCGCCACTGCACTCCAGCCTGGGCAACAGAGCGAGACACCGTCTCAAAATAAATAAATAAATACATAAATAAACAAAAAAGAATGGAAAGAATATTGGCAAGGTAGATTTTGCCAGAGAGTATCAGTGAGATGCTTTTAAAGAGAAGCAGCTTTAAGCAGCATTGTTTCTTTTCTGATTAGTCAGCTCTTCTGTTTTATTCTAAATTAGCTTTCATTGCTTTTTGTGAAGATCAGTTATTGGTAAGGACTCCTTATTGCATTTTCCTAATCTGAAACTATGATGTTATTATCACTTGTTCCTAAAATACATCTATACCATAAAAAGTTTGGGGCAATTACTTTATTTCTGGCTCAATGTCTCCCAAGATGATCTCAAACACAAAATCATTACTGTTAATATTTATAAAGTCTCTCAAAAAGTATGAATTTTTCTAATTTATAAATTTGTATGCTTCTTGCAGAAAATCCTTAAACCTTTCTTATTTTTTTCTTTTCTTATGTATGAGTGTGAAATCAATTTGAAAGTTATAAAAGGCTTTACATGGTGCTCTTCACTTGCAAATTGGTGGGACAACATTCATTATGATAAAAATAACAGTAAAATAAGTATGATTTTATTCACAACAATATTATTCTTAATCATATTTAAAAGAATAAAAAGATAATTTACTTATAATTACAACAAAGTTCTTAGCAAACCATGCAGAATAACTTTTTTCATTACTAAAATATCATAGTGTGCGTCTGGGTGAATGTCTCTATGTAATTACCATCTGTGTCAGGGTGTTCATTTCTAGCACTTCAGTAGTCTCTCTTTTGTACTTCTGTCAGTCACCCCAAAAACGTACTGATAGTGTTGGCTAAATGAATAATGCAATAACACTTTTATTCTACTTGCATTTTATGTAATAACTAATAATGTTAAAAAAATGCTTCAGATTTATTTTACACACCAAATAAGCATATCGTATAAATATGTTACATACATGATAGTTATGTTATCTGACAATGTTAGAAACAGGCATTTCTGACACTCTTCAATATTTTCATTTTTATGTAGGAATCGTAACAAATGCCTAAGGAACTTAATGTCTACAAAACTATTTCTGCTGTTTAAAAGATACCTAGCAACTGGAATGTTAAATTTGCTCTATTTGTATAAGTAGTTATGCTGTTGTCAGATTGAGATGAGTAACTCCAGGACCTATGAAAACTCTACTTTCTATTCCTACATGACTTCAACAATTCTGCTCTATCTAGTAAGTGATTTATGCACAAAACTCAAGGCAGGTATTTGAATGCATCTTACACTTTCATTGGTAATGGCTTTATGTGGACAAAAATGCTATCAATTCTGAATTTTCCTTTCGGAATGCAAAACCTATGAAACATTTCAATAAATATAACACAAGCAGAATCACCCTCTTTACCAATCCTCAAGATTTTGAAATGTTTAACAAACCCGACATTTTTTATTTTTATTTATTTATTTATTTATTTAGTAAAAAAAGCAGATAGGAAAATTCGGCCTATTTTTTGTACTTAGTATGGGTCACTAGAGAGATAGAGAGAGTGAATGGTCTTTCAATAACCTCAAACTACAATGTGTTCAAAAGGGGAAATTGGAGAGGCACATGAACTTGAATTCTGATAATAGAGAAAGTGCCAGAGCACCCAGCTCTGCACCTGCGAGTACAGAATTCTTAAAACAAGGAAATGCTTACTCAGATTCCTCCAAATATGGAACAAACCACTTGGGGAAGCAACACATTTTAACTTTACTGGTTCTTTTCAAAATAAGATCACCAAACTTCTTGAATAGGACACTAATACAATAGACACACAAACAAAACCAAAGACAACGAAGAGACTCTATGTTGATACATGTGTGGCTACTTAGTCATGAGGGTTAGATAACTCAGGAGTCTGTAAAAACTAGACTAGAAAAGACCAGGAGAGGCGTGAGGGTGGGAGATGGCTGGTAGCTTCCTAAGTTCATATGTTGTTTAAGACCAAGGGTAATGTAAACACTATCACACAACAAGCTTTAACTTTGTTAAAAGAATCAGTGTGAAGCATTCATCGCTTTAACTAAATTTTTGTGTTAACTGTTTTCATTCCCCGCTGCTTACCTCTGGGCTGAGTTCCTCTTTTCATGCCTGCAGATCAGAGCATAATTGGACCTGCTCTTTTTCCCTAAAATATTCTCAAGAACAAAATGGCTTAGCATCCCATAGAGAAAAACATTCCTGATGTTTAATTATACTTCTCAGTAGATGTAGAATTGTGGGATATTAAACCTGTTTACTTTTTGTTTGACAAGAGATATGTCTCTATTATTTTTCTATTATGTTCCCCCTTGGACACTAGTCACAACATTTTTCTTTGCATTCTTTTTCTCTCTGCCTTTCAGATGTTTGCCTTTAGGGGCACTGACAAAAAACATTTTATTTGGTGGATCTGCATTAGAAATCACTTCTTTTCCTGACAAGCTATTTAAAATGTCACTTGTGCCTTGTGAAGGCTTTTAGAAAAATACAGAGACCTGGACCCAGATGACCCAAACTGTGTTTCTGCAAGGATTGCAATTTCCTTTTGAGGATTATGGTTCCAGGGAAGATTGCTTCTAAATATCTGTGAGAGAAATACTTTCCAGAATTATTGCTGTTGTTTACTCTATATTGATTTTTAGAGTATTTTACCTCACTTCATATAAAGGACAAATAATAAAATATCATTTAATTATTGTAATATTAAATATAACAGTGTAATTATTTCTCAAACACAAGAGATCAAAGTGTATCTCTTCAGGATGTGCTTTTTGACTACTGATTATCAAGTACAACATAGCCAATTTCAGTTGTTTGTTCTACCAATTACACTTCTCTGAAGATCAAAAAGCCGGAGAATAGGAATTAGTGTAGCTCCCCTATACTAAATATCATCCAGTTATGAAATACAAAGCTATAAGAGTGGTGCTTTTGAAGAAAATTGACGTGTGAGTTAAAATATGCATGTTCATTGATCACAAATGGATGAGAAATGTCACCCAGTTATTACATAGAAAAGAGCTGATTGAAAATAGGTGACCTTTACCAAACGTGTGTGAACAATTTCCACTGTTCATTAAAGTACAAGATATCTACATCATCCATAAGGTGGATATGATGTTGGAAATGCATTAAACAGATTTCAGTGGTTACTACCATGATAAGTGTTTTGAACTAATCTAATTGTTACTATACTTTGTGTTCTCTGACATTTCATCAAGGGGACGTAGGGAAGCAAAATTCTTTTCAGAATGTCATGAATTTAATTGCCCAAGTAGAAGGAAGAAGCATTGGCTTATGAATAAATAACTATATTTTTAATTTGAAGAAGATCACTAACTATTCTTTTTACAAAGCATTTGGGCACATAAGTGCCTGTCACTGGGAATATAGTAGTGAATGACACAGGCATAGAACCTGCCATCAAAGAGTTTGAAGTGTGGCATTATTCAATGATGTAATGAGTTCTGTGATTGGATTATAAGGGACATAGAGTGTGCTATGGAAACTGATAGAAGAAACATTTGCACTCCACTTGTAGGGGCCAAAAAACACTTGTATGAAATGTATCTTGAGTTCTGAAGGACAATAGATCTAGTCAGACAAAAAGTCAACTTACTGTGACAGACAGCAAACATGAAATCTCAGACATAGGAACCAAATGATAGCAACCATGGCTGGGTCATAGACTGCTTGAGATTAGGAAAAAGCAGATATGATGCAGCATCCAAACCTCACATTGAAATGGATGCAGCCATATTCACCATATAAAGATGTGGAATCAACCTAAGTTTCCATATCTTAAGATATCCAAGATACGGAATCAATCCATCACAAAATGACTGGATAAAGAAATGTGGTGTATATACAAAACGGAATACTATTCACACATAAACAAGAATTAAATCATGTCTTTTGTGGCAACATGGATAGAACTGGAGGCCATTATCTTACGTGAAATAACTCAGAAACAGACAAATACCGCATGTTCTCACTTATAAGTAGGCACTAAATAATGTGTACAAATGAACATAGATTATGAAATGATACACACTGAAGACTCAGAGCTTGGGGGATGGAAAAGTGTGAGGGAGGATAAATAACTTAATGGGTACAATGTATATTATTTGAGTGATGGATACACTAAAATGCCAGACTTCACCCTATGCAATATATATTGCATATAACAAAATTGTACTTGTACCCCTTAAATATATACAAAAAAATGGGTGTCCAGTGGGGGTTTTAATTATGTCTTTAAAAAGCAGGGAAACTACAAGAGAAGCCTTAACATGGGGGTAATAGGGCAAGCTTGTATTCAGAGATATCAATTTTCTGTCAGTATATGGCATTATCTTGTGTAGAAAAGGAATATGGTAACGCGGCCATAAGGCAAGTGACAGATGAAGGTGATAAGAACTGTGGGGAAACAATGATGGAAAGCCAGGGGAGAGAAAGTTAGAAGGCAGGATTGAAAGGACCACATGTTAATTGGATCTGTGGGAAGTCAGAAGTGGGAAGGCAAAGATGTTTGCTGGATTCCTAACTTGACACATTGGGTGGATTAGAGTGCCACTTACTGAGACGGTAAAGAGAGAAGACATAGAAAAGGTTTTGAGGCGAGATTAGGGAATGCACTGATATCTCCCTCCCTCTGCCCCTCCCTCCCTCTCTTTTCCTCCCTCCCTCCCTACTTTCCTTCCTTCCTTCCTTCCTCCCTTCCTTCCTTCCTTCCTTCCTTCCTTCCTTCTTTCAACATATAGTTACTACCTCTGTGACAGACACTGATCTAGGTGATGAGCCTGCAGCAGTAAACAAAGCAAGGTTCTCATCTTCACAGAGCTTACAGTCCCATTGGAGCAACCATCAGCAGGTAAGACACAGTAAATTTGAGATGAACAATAAGGAGAAAGAGATAGGGTGGGTGATATTTTAGGTAGAATGGTAAGAGAAAACTGAAAAATTAGTTTCAGCTAATATTAGCGACAACAAGCTCTGCACAAAAGGGTCAGAGTTTTTGCCAGAGTTAACCCTTAGTGTTCTATCTCTGAAATAAAAAGCTCAGAAGTTCTCCTTCTAAGAATGTCAGTGGTGTTAAATTTAAATAGCTCAGTTTGACTTTGATTATCCAGCAAGAGTAGAGGCAAAAAAGTGGCCTTTTTTGTTAGGTCGCAGTCAGGAGGTGGGAGGATGTGAACACTTGTCCACGTCAGTACTAGCAGATATGGCCATCCATATTCTTCACTTTTCCTGAACTCTGAAACTGAAATACATTCATTCATCTAATCCTGCAATACAGAACCCCTGAAAATCACCTATGGATTTATAACTTTGCCAAATTTATGCTCATTCAACTTTATTTGGTTCAAAGCTCTACACGTGAACTTTCATATATTCTTGGCACAGCATTTAGGTAAGTGACTTTCTCTCCCTTCAACTCCACTAAAACTTATTTTCTCCTATAGTATACATATTTTTGTTTTTCATGTGTCTTTTTAAATTTTTTAAAATTTATTTTTTAATTGACACATAATAATTGTGCATAATTATGGGAAAGAGTGTGATGTTTCAACATAGGTATACGATGTGTAATAATCAAGTTAGGGCAATTAGCATATCCATCATTTCAGAAATTTATCATTTGTTTGTGGTGAGAGCATTCAAAATTTTCTCTTGTAGCTATTTTGAAATATATGTTATATTAACTATAGTCACCATGCTGTGCAATGGAATACTAGAACTTATTTCTCCTATCTAACTGTAACTTTGACCAATTTCTTTCTATACATCTTTTTCCCTCCCCCCGCCACAGCCTCTGCTAACCTCTAATCTACTCTCTACTTCTATGGGATCATCTTTTTCAGATACCGCATTTGAGTGCAATCATGAGGTATTTGTCATTCTGTGTCTGGCTTATTTCACTTAACATACTGTCCTCCAGGCTCATCCAAGTTGCTACAAATTACAGAATCTCATTCTATTTTATGGCTGAATAGTATTCTACTGTGTATATATACCACATTTTCCTTGTCCACTCATCTGCTGATGGACACTTAGGTTGATGCCATATCTTGGCTGTTGTACATAGTGCTGCAATAAATATGGGAGTGCAGACATCTCTTTGACATACTGATGTTATTTCCTTTGGATACAGACCCAGCAATGGCATTTTGGGATCATATGGTAGTTCTATTTTTAATATTTTGAGAAACCTTCCTACTCTTGCCTATAATGACTGTACTAGTTTACATTCTCACCAACAGCAATATGAATTCCCTTTTCTCCACATCCTTGCCAGCACTTGTTACTTTTTGCTTTTTTGATAATAGCCATTCTAACTGAGGTGAGATGATATCTCACTGTGTTTGTAATTTACATTACCCTGAAGATTAGTGATGTTGAGCATTTTTTCATGTTCCTGTTGGCCATTGTATGTCCCCCTTTTGAGAAATTCTATTCGGATTGTGGGATAAGAACTCAAACACACAGGTTTAGAAGCAAAAATAGATAAATGGGATTACATCAAAATAAAAAGATTATTCATAGCAAAGGAAACAATCCACAGCGCAAAGAGACAACTTACAGAATGGGAGAACATATCTATAAACTATGCATCTGACAAGGGGTTAATATCCAGAATCTATAAGGAACTCAAACAACTCAATCAAATAGAAACATAGAATTCACGTGTTTTTGTTTTGTTTTGTTTGTTTTTTTTTTTTTGTTTTTTGTTTTTTTGAGACGGAGTCTCCCTCTGTCGCCCAGGCTGGCGTGCAGTGGTGCGATCTCAGCTCCGCCTCGGGGTTCACGCCATTCTCCTGCCTCAGCCTCCCGAGTAGCTGGGACTACAGGCACCCGTCACCACGCCCGGTTAGTTTTTTGTATTTTTAGTAGAGACGGGGGTTTCACCGTGTTAGCCAGGATGGTCTTGATCTCCTGACCTCATGATCCGCCCGCCTCGGCCTCCCGAAGTGCTGGGATTACAGGCGTGAGCCACCGCGCCCAGCCCAATTCACATGTATTTTTTTAAGTAGCTGATAACATGTATTTCTATTTGAAGTAGTAAAAAATACAATGTAAAATTCAGACTAGAGCAGCAATAAATCTAGCTTGCCCTTCTGAAAATTCTTTAATGAGTTCTCATTATTCCTGGGTTAAAGTTCGCACCTCTTACACAGGCATCAATGAAGCTGCTCTTTTTTACACATTCACCACTCCATTGTCATGTTCTATCAAACTAATGTGGTGCTGGAGGGTGTCAGGAATGCACCCAACATATCTCTGTGCTTTAGCACATAGGGTGATTTCCATTAGGAGCTAATGGTCTCTCTTTTCCTGTCTGTCTAAATTCAAGCTATTCTTTAATTTACAGATAAGGGAATTCCTCTTGGCCTCTCTGTTTAAGTCAGGAGCTATTTTTTGTGCATTGACAGCAGTCTGTACATATGTTCCATGATGGCAGACCACAAGCATTGTGACTACTCGTTCTTTAGTTCCCCTCTCCCACCATCAGGCTGAGCATATTATGCATAGGAACTAGGCCTTGTCAACATGTATCCCTAGCATCTAGCACAGCACCTAACACTTAAGAGGTACACAATAGTTACTGAGTAAATTCAATGGACAAATGTCAATGAACAAATATGGTTGAATCTTACACATTAAGATTTTATAATGTGTTAAAACGTTAACAACAAAAGCAAAAGCAATTGCCTCAATTCTGATACAACAGCCACAGAAATTAATTTGGAATATTCACTCAATCTTGGTCAACAATATTTTCTGAGGATAAACTCTGTAACAGACACTATCTTAGGTACTGAGTTGCAGCTTTGAATAAAAGAAACAAAAAGCCTGCCTTCATAGAGCTCACATTCTAATAATGGGGAGAGGGGAGAAAAACAATAATCAAATAAATTTAAAAGAATATGGTTGATAAGATTTTAAACATTACAGAAGAAAATAATAGAGAAGAGTAATAGGAAATTATAGGGGCAGGTTTGTAATTTTTAATTTATATTATCACAATGATGGTAATATAAATTATCCAAAATTTATATCTATATTAATGAAATATATTTCCCTCTATTGTTTATAGATTTTAGCAATAAGAAAGAAATATGGCAGTTGAGATTAGAAAGGGAGAAAAGTTTAAATAAAGAAGAGAGATGAAATCAATATCCTTGCAATTCAGTTTTGGGAGAGAAGAAAGTTGAACTGACAAATAAGAAAGTCTTAAGGCTACATTGCTAGAATAAAGAGAACTGAGATGTTACCAGAGAAGTCAGCATTTTCTGATAAGTTTTGAACTTCAGTATGGAGTTATCTTGGGCAATGCTATATACAAAAACTTCTAGATATTGGGAAGGGAGACTGGAGAAGCAATGAACACCCTGTCCCTCTTAATTGCAAGGAATTAAATATGTCAGCGATACTTACCTAAATATTTTGCTTTCTAAGACATCCAACTATTCTATGTCCAAAATGGTTATGTAGAAATCAACAATAGATTAAATATACACACAAAATTTTATATTATATATTAAATATAATATACATATTTCTCAATTTTGACCTGGTTCAGAATTTTTCATCACCTTCCTGAGATGGGAAAAGCTTCTCAAGAAGGTTGATCAACATCTGATTCAGGTGAGCTAGGCAGTGAGTCTCATCCTGTGAAACGTCCTCCAGTAGACACTAGTCCACCCATGGCAGCCATGGGGCAGAGTAGGGGGCAGTGGTGATATGAGAGCAGCATTTCTCATCACCAGTAGCATCAACCTCTCTGGCAGGTTGTCAGAAATGCAGAATCTTGAGCCACACTCTAAAACCTCTAAAAAAGATCCCCAGATAACTTGCGTGCCTGTTCTTAAGGTTTGAGAGTTGCTGGTCTACAGCAGCAGTGTCCAACTGGGGCTACATAATAGAGTTACCTGGGAAATTTTTTTTTAAATCCCAATAATTAGGCCACATTCTTATATATTCGTTTTTGTCAGAATCAACTGTATATGTCTCAAACTGTGGTTCCTGGTTTCTTTTCTACAGCTGAAAGAAATCTACCAAAGTTTTGACCTACTAAACCCACTAAGGTTTGACTTGTGAAATCAGCACTCCAGGAATGAGACCCAGGAATCTACTTCTTTATTTAAGTCACATAGCAGTTGATTCCTATATGTACCAAAATATAAGGTGTGGCTTGGAGGATGAAAAATAATGGATTCCACTGCAAAAAAAAAAAAAAAAAAAAAAAGAGTTTCTCTATGTTTATTATTTGAATCAATATGCAAAGTATGCAATGGAATACTTTTGCATATATACACTGGTAGTTGATAACTTTGTCAAAATTTATAATTAGAGGTTTTAAATACCATAGAAAAATATGGATGAATTAGTGAGTGTGAGGAAATAAAAATACTGAGTCTCTCCAGAGACAGACATTTAGATAGTTATCTTCAAGAGATTTAAAAATATTCTACCACGGTCCGGCGTATTGGCTCACACCTGTAATCCCAGCACTTTGGGAGGCGGAGGTGGATGGATCACGAGGTCAGGAGATCCAGACCATCCTGGCTAACATGGTGAAACCCTGTCTCTACTAAAAATACAAAAAAAAAAAATTAGCCGGTCATGGTGGCAGGCGCCTGTAGTCCCAGCTACTCGGGAGGCTAAGGCAGGAGAATGGCGTGAACCTGGGAGGCAGAGCTTGCAGTGAGCTGAGATTGCGCCACTGCACTCCAGCCTGGGCGACAGAGCAAGACTGTCTCAAAAAAAAAAAAAAGAAAAAAAAAAGAAAAAAAAATTCTACCAAATATTCATTATGCTGATAATAAAAAAATCATGCAAGATGAATGTTTCTCTTCTAAATAAGCAGTCAGCAAACTTTTTCTGTGAAAGACAAAATAGCCAATATTTTTAGCTTTGCAGGCTCTACAATCTTTTTCTGTTCTACTATTCAACTCTGGCTTTGTGGCTTGCAATCAGCCATTGACAAGATGGAAATGTATAGCTGTGGCTGTATTCCAACCAAACTCTATTTACAAAAACAAATCACGGGCTATTTTTCTGGCCCCTGTAATACCAAGTTAGATTGTTGACTACCAGTGGTCAAATGGAACTTCTTTTTCAAGACTTGTTCAATTCCTTTCAATGTACGTAAGAAAGAGTCAAAGTAAAGAATTCAGTTGCTAATTTAGTCCTCATGACAAATAGAATGGTTTCTCTAAAATGGCTCCTAAGTTACATTCTTTTAAGAAACATCCACTTCATCTGTGTAAATCCAACAGGACCCCCAAAAATAGTATGCCCCAAAATTCAAAATGTACTTATATAAACACAGTGTTATGAAATTGTTCCTGGAAGTTTTGCAAGATCCACGTGTTCATTGTTGCTAAGGAGAAAAAAGATCTCTAATTTTTGCTACTTTACAGGTAAGGTGACAGCTAATAATAAGGTTCCCTATTTATAATAACAACTATCATTTTCTGAGGACCTGAGCAATTGTGGATATATCAATTCCCTCCTTTATTTCTCAGAACACTACAATAGGATAGGTACTGTGATTGGCTCAATTTTCAATAACATATAAACAAAGTTTAGACACCTTAACTGACTTGTCCAAGGCCACAGAGCTAGAAAATGCCCTCAGCTGGATTTGAACCAGGTGGTTGAACCTAGAACACGTACAGCCACTAAACATTACTGCCCTATCCATTGTCTACCAGAACTATGAACATGTAAGATACTGAGTTAGTTGTAATATTTTCATTTGTAAGGGAAATAGATGTGCTCAATTTGAATGGATTAACAGGACTAAAACTACAGAGAAAAATGTGAATGTGAAAAATGGGGAAGTCTCACCACTGCATGGTATGCCTGGAATACGATACGGGATATCAACCCAGGATAACACAGTACTTCCTCTGAGAAGCACTCTTTTCTTCTTGTGCTTAGCTATTAGGGTAATTTAGAAAATGTATCTGTTCTTACTGACCTAAGGCAATTAACCTCTTTTCTTTCTTTTCTACTGGCCTCATTACTGCAGCTTATTCATGATTTCCACAGACTGTCCTTTTTACGTTTCTCAACTTCTTTTCCTGGCCACTAACTGCTGAGGCTCCACATGGCATTTCAAATTTAAGATAACCAAGTCAAATATTTGTTATTTCACACAGAACATTTTTATTGGCATGGTTCTCCTGGAAGGCCACATGGTGGTCATTGGCCAGTCTAGAGAGGGCTGTCTTAGACCTTGGCACATTCATTTCTCATCAAATCTACTGCGGCCAGTAGAGCCTAGACACATGGTTATATTTTCTTGGTGGAAACACCTATGCATTGTGAACTGTTACCATTACAAGCTCTTCTACAATATTGTCCTTTATAGATCATATTCATTCTTTTGGAATAGTAATACAGGAGGTAATGTGTACATATACTTTGTGTTTTCTGTTATTCTTATACACAATTAGGATAAGCCAACCGTTTTCCAACAACCTAGAGAATTGAAAGTACGCTGGTTGGTTGTTGGAGATTATACACATATATGCCTTGATCATATTTGTAGTCATTGTGGAACCTGTTATTTACAGTATCTGGTACAATGTCATCTCTTTCCAGATTTGGGAACATGTTGGAACACAATAAATTATCATATTTTATAACCATACAACCTAACTTCTAGTTACCATCTTAGCACATCCTTGGATATGACAGCTAATCATATTAAATTTTCCAGGTCACCTCTAATCTTATAACATCCCTCCCTTCTTGTCACAGGATTAGATCAAATATTAATTGAAAAATATTACCACAATATCAACATGATTAGCTACACTAAACCTCTGTGGACATATGGGAAAGTTTATGTAAAGTCAGCATAGCAAATAGGCTGCTGAATATGTAAGTCTGTTTTTTCTGAAGTCTACTTCCAACATTCAATTCCAACAGTTAGTTTCTCTACCTTTTCTAATATTGTGAATATCTTTCACTATTAACGTGAGTTCCCCTTAACTTCCTTTTAATCGCATTTCAATACAATTAACACTGAATTTATACCTCTACATTTTATTTTATTTTATCCTGAGAGTGTGTCAACCTCTCTTGGAAAGATGTATATGTTACAAATACTAAATTTCAGTAGAGACTTTGCTTACAGTAGAGTGTTTTTTCTGTCAGTAGTAATCAGAATTAGCTGGAAGCAAAGACTTGCACACTAACCTCTTTCAGAAACTAAAAGAACAAAGTACATGCTGGTTTCCAATACTGGTGGTGATGGAATTTACAAAATCACTTATTTTGTGTAAACAAGAGTTCACCTGTTCTGAAGGTAATATGATTACTCTGTACTATCTTAAAAATAGTCTTACAATATTCATGAGTATCATGTCAAGGGCTGGAAACAGTCACCATATATGAGGTAACAAAAAGGTATAGTATAGAGTGTATGAGTTTTAAACACAGCCAGATCTGAATTTGAGTTATAGGTTCATTACTGTGTGCCCTTGGCCCAGTTACATATGCTCTCTCAGATTCCAGCTTTCCTTCTGGAAAATGAGGGCAAATAACATCCATGTTAACATTTCAACTTTCATATGTTTTTATATTTATCATTTATTCATATATAAAAAGTTTATAACTCAGCTATCTGAGTTGAGGAAGCATGTGAGCTAGATTAGATACTGCCTATCTCTAGTGTCTTTTATTGAACATATTACTTATTGAGGAGCAAGTTATAGAAGAACTTGAAGCAAGTTTTGCAAAGTTTTAAAAGATTATTTTATTTAAATTTTGAGACTTCCTACTCTAAGTGAGGTTATCCTATGAGATGTTTTCCCATCTTACAGAAGAAATAAACTACCCTCAATCAAATGAAAAATGGAATTCAATATAGATTAAGGAGGCAGATGCTAAGTAAAATAAACTGTTACTAATTTTCAGTTGAACCCAAGATTTTCTTTATCCTCTTATCAGTATATTGCAAATTCAGACAACTATGACAATGGTAAAACTCCTTTAAGCAATTGCATTTTTAATTTTTTAAATTAAATTTGTATTTTAAGTTCAGGGGTACGTATGGTTGTTTGTTATATAAGTAAACATGTGTATTGGGGATTTGTTGTTTTTTGAATGAGAACTACAATTCCCTCAATTTTTAAACATAGATATTTCATTAGAGAGTAAACGCAACCTTCAATGGACGTACTCTGGTCAGACACTTCAGTGGTCAATACATCCAACAAAAAAGTTCATTGGGTCTGATGCCACCATCAATTCTGAAGTTGGCACAAGGATAGAGATGTTTTCAGCGACATGCAAGTTCGCTAGTAGCAAGTGTGTGTCCCTGTTTGGTTAATGTTGCCTCTTTCTGTTTATCAAGTTGCTTAAAAAAAAAAAAATAAGAAGCCAAAGACCCAGGGACAGCCACTGTAGTCAACACATTCTTCTCTCAATTATCTTTAATTCTATTGAGAAATCATCTCCCCAGGGAAAAGAGATAGAAGTCTCAGAACAAGAGAAGTAGATAAAAGTCTTCAGGTTTTAGCTACAAACATACTGGTAGCCAAGTACACATCAGCCTTTGGGAACCTTGAAAATAGTTTACTCCTCTGGAAGAAGCACTAACATCGACATCAGCCTGAAAAGCTCTCCAGAGAATTTCAGAATGATAGCCAATTATTAGAAAGTGTTCTGACATCTTTATAAAATGTCCCATCTCAAGAGATCCATAGAAGAAAAGGGAAGTCAGCACTTCAGGAAATACGAGTGCTCACTCTGAAAAGCACACTTGAGATACCATTATAAATCTTTATACAAAAGCAGCTAGATATTTACATTTTGCTTTAACAATAGAAATTAATTGTTAAAAATCAACCTGTTTCAGTATTATACGTGATATTTTAAATAATGTTTATTTCATTATTTGAAAACTTTTATGTCATACAATATCAAGGTAAGTGATTGCTATTCTTCAGTATTTAGCCTGCAGACTGATAGATCACATAATTATAGTGATATAATTATTTAATTACTCTTAATTACATAAAAATTTATCATAATATGGAGTAAAACAATCAGGCTATATTTACATGCGCTTAGTAAGGTAGAAAAGAAAAAGTTCAGGTAATTAAACTTTGGAAAAAAGTTGCTTACAATACCTTTCTAGATATTTTTAACAAGCTTACAAGAAAATGGGTAAAAAAGAATTAATATGGAATGGTTTAATCTGAATTACCTGGATAATTGCCCTAAATGATATAGGAAATGTAAGCTTCACTTCAATTCATTATATCTTAATAATAAAAATGAAATAAAACATAAAAAAGATTTTTTTACAAACACGTAATCTCTTATTGAAGAATTCTTTCAAAAACAAGCATTTTAGAAAGCACTTAATTTTCCTTTGCTTTCTTTTTTTATTCATGTCATAAAAGAAATCCACTTCTGTTGAATAAGTACTATAAATTATATGAATGGTACAATAAGTCTTCTAGTTTCATTTTTCTTAATACTTGCATCAGAAACTATAACATTTAAGTTTTAAGTTCCAAATGGATACTATTAAAATATTCAGGGATTTAGTCCTAAATCCTTAAACCAAAAGGGAGCTCAGGAATATTGCTAATGTAGAAAGCTGCACAAAATCTCAACTCGCATTTGCAAATTTTCTTTCCATCTGATTTAACTTTGAAGTTTTCAGACTCAGATTTTACTATATGACATCAACAAATCACTTCAATCAAAACCAATTTACCTTGGCAATGCACAACCCTCCAAATAGATTATTAAAAAGGTAAAATGAGAAATTAACTATCTTTTCATGTTCCCTTTTATTTTCTCTGGATACAAGGCAGAATGAATGTATTTCAGAAGAAATTGCCCTGAGATATCATTATCTCCAACGCCGTTTTCACTCCAGGAAACTTGCTTATAAATTAAGCTTTTCCTGACACAGTCACTTGCTGCAGTGCAGAATGTCAGTTTAGTCAGTTAGAACTTTCAATGCAGAAATTCAGTGCCATGCAGTCACCCGGATAAAGCAGCACTTACCTTAATTGAAATTTTCTCTGTGAACGAGGTGAGAAATCCGTCAAATCAACCGTGAATGGGGTGGGGAGATCGAAGTTTTCAATCAACACCCTCCAAGTAGCTGCATCCTGTGCTCCTTTTCCCTGTTATGTTGAGCTCCTCACTGTCTAAGGAGAGAAAAACATCAGCTGAAATCCTCCGAGGTTCCCAGTGAGTAAATGAGGACTAAGCGATGTTTCTGAACGGGAGATTCTCCGTGAGCGTGCTCCGTTTGGAGGCTCCCTAACACTCTTGGCAGGTCCCTGGAGCCAGGCGTTAATCATTGACCTGATTAGCAAGAACGCTCCGGGTGCGCAGGCAACACACGCCGAGGGTTGGTGGGTCTCCCGGGAACTGGAAAAGGCACCAAGGCCACTTGGGAATCTTGTCTTTTCCAGCCTAATGGATGAACTACAACTATGATTATGATTTGCAAGGAGATTAGCTGCCGTGCTAGCCATCGCAGGACTTAAACAAATGTGCTTTCTCCTGCTGTTTTTCAAGGTGCCTTCGTGTAAGATATTAGGTACAGTGAAGCAATTAATAGACTGATAGAGCTGATTTGTAAGACAAGCTTAAAGCTGAAAAATGTTTAAAGCGATGTGATCAAAGAGATAGCTGCACTTGTCTCTGCCGCTCGCCTGCTACATACTTCAACCTTTGTCGAACTAAAATGAATTTAAAGGTTTATTACAGCCCTCCAGAGTGCAACTCTCTGAATTTATAAAAAGGAAGTATTCATACTAAATAAGCATATTTGGCAGATTGCTACAGACACAAGCACTCAAACCACGGCATGAACACAGCCTTGCTTGTGTAGTTTTCCAAACGGCATTTTCAATTAGCATTACACTTGCAAAAAATGTTTGCATTGTACCCTTAACCAGAGTAATGTAGGAGAATACAGCACTACACCTAACCGAATCATCTCTTTGATTATCTGTTGAAATACTGATTTCCTAAAACAAAAACAAGCAAGCATATGAGAGGATCGAAAATATCTAACAACTTTTTAAACGTAGCTATGTGCCGTTACCAACCTGCTGGTCCCCATCCGTCATCCGCTCTTTCTGCCACTGACCACCTTCTCAGCACTTCCTCATCAAGTTCCTAGTTCCCTGAAGAGATCTAACTCTCTGGAAAAGGTCACATAACTGAATGCCAAAGCCCCAAATGGTTAATTTTTGACAGCTCTCACTTTTGCAGGATAAAATTATGCAAATAACATAAAAAGAACAGATGAAAAAAGTAATTTGCATGTCTTGAGGGTGAGAAAATTCTCATTGCCAGAGAGAAAGCTGACGACTGTCCTCTCACAATGATCCTGAGTGATATGTTCAGCACTTTTGTTTTTTTCCAGTGGGTCTCACTTGGGACATATGGCATTTCTTTGATGTGTGTGTGCGTGTGTGTGTGGGTGCGTGTGCTTGCGTGTGTGTGTGAGAAAGAGAGAGAGGAAGAGCGAGAAGCTATATTTACATTGTGATATTTATATATATCTTAGAAAACCCTCAAATTTCAGTAGGCGAATGCACTAAGTATAAATAATAGAGAATCCGTTTGCCTTATACATTCCCAAATATATTTTTAAAGTATCTCATTAAAATACAAGCTCTTGGTGAAACTTTTTGGACAAAGTAAAACTTCAGGGTAACTGAATTGCTGTTACTAAGGCAGGTACTCATCCTACTCTGAAAACGGAGACGGCCCTGCAGAAGCCCCAGGAGATGGGGCTGTAGCCTCCCATGCAGAGGTCTCTTGCTCCCTCAGCTGGTGGAGGGTGACAGCCGAATGTGAAGAAACCCAGTCAACCACTTCAGGAGAGGGAGAACAATTTTTGCTGCTGTAAAGCAGGAAACCCATTATCCAATTTTAGATTGGCATGAGAGTGTTATAGTAGAAAAGAGGCTGCTTACATCGAAGTAAATGCACCTTGAGCATAAATTGTAAAAATAAGAAAATGTAACTGCTAATTTCTCCTGAGAGGGTTCCAACTAGTCTTTAACACAATACTTGTAAATAACAGTGGGATAGATTCCAGGGCTCTAATGTGTAGTTGGTCATGCAATTAAAGCACTCCGTTTCTCGTATTGGTCTAAGTCCCATTCTGAGGATCTTAAATCGTGAACTATTTTTAAAACTTATTAAAACGTTAAGACAGGGCTTATTTTCCTGAACCCTGCCAGCCAACCCACAATCATCATCACCAACTAAAACAGGTGCACACGAAACTTTGTGCCATAGTAGATGGGTTCTATCTGGAAACTCCAACTCCATGAGACTGCCCTGATGACATTTCCAAATAACCAGCCTTTCTGTTCTCATAAAATCCAGAGGTCTTTCAAAACCCTGAATGGTTTCTATAGAGAGTATGATGACTCTTCAGTAGTTTTTTTAACCTATGTTGGAACACTAATTGATTTTATGTGAAAGTACACACATGAAGAACAAAGCAAAATAAGACCATTTTGTTGGAGGTGTGAGGGGAGACCGTAGTCACATGAAAATAACAGGTACTGTCTATTACATGCTTGCTATGTAGTAAGTGACTGGCATGCACTTCAGCTATAGCTATCCATGAACCCCTTAGTCCAATTCTATTAAGCAGACATTATAATATTTTATTTTTTAATTAATTAAGTTAGGGCTCTGAGAAGTTAAGCAAATTTACCAATGTTGCGTAGTCAGTACAGAAGAAACCCACCACTAAAAGTCAGGTTACTGTAACTATAAAATTAGCAAATATTTGGAAATTCCCAAATGTTAAAACTGATCAAAACCCTTACTTCCAACAGAATGGGAACATTTTCTAGATTTTATGATTAACAAAAATCATTTTCACATCTTTAAAAACCATTTTATAACTGATAAACTATTGTAACAGTTCTGCTATTAAAAGTTATGTATGATTTAGCAGAAAAAAAATTCACAAAAAAAACTTTAGGCTAAAAAATAGATTCCATCCAGAGCTTCCAAATATATAATTCCATTAGCACAAATGACTCAATTTCAAATTTTTAAAAATCCCTTCTGCAATTCATTTGCTCTCCCACTCAAATATAATAATTATTGCTTTTTTAAAACAAGAAAATAGCTCCACTCTAAGTAAACGAATATCTCAAGAACAGCCATAAAAATATATTAGACCAAAATTATGATGATTTTTACTAACCTAGTTCTCCAAGTGGCATAATGTAATAGCAAAGCTCAAATGTACTAGGGAGCTAAAGTTTATCTCTGATTTGTTCATGCTTTATCTACAGGTTTCTTAAAAGTCACATGAATCCTATCATTTCATATGGCTCTTTGAAATTCTCAGACACATCCATAACTTTACAGAGAAGCATTGTGACCACACTCTTTCAAGAAGTTTAATGAAATAAATGATGATAACGCAAACTAATGCAACATTTAAACTTTGCCAAGAACTTATTCTCTCATTTGATTCTTATGGGAATCTTGTGAAATAGGTTACCATAAGTATTTTTCTCATATGTTAGTGATGAGGAATAAAAAGAGCAAGTGATTGTCCTTTGGTGTTTGATAGTGGAAAACCTAATGTCTTCCTTTTTACGTAAGTCCTATTGCTCCCCACTATGTCGAACAAATATGTTTATCTGAGTCATCTTGTTGTCAAAAAGGATCTTAAGTGGCTATATAAACAGAAGTCAGTCTTTCTTCATTTACTTAGGTTTGTTCCAAACAGTGTAAATTGTGATTGTGATTTATTGAAGAAAAAATTACTCTGAGCTGACAGGGAACTTGTGATTTATGTATACTGGAATAGCAACCCTTAGATTTCCTACAGACTTTTCCTGATCTTGGCTATTATTATTTAAATTGGGGATATATGAAGATATTTCCCAAATATTAGTCTTATGATTCTTACACAAATAGAATCTTGCTTCTGTATACCAATGTAGATTCAGCTATTACCTCCCTACCACTGTTTGTGATGGTTTATCAGAACAGACCTTGAAAAATTACTGTTAATTATTTTAAATGGATCTATAAATACATATACATAAACAAGCCACCTAACTAATAACAAATTGATCTTGCAGCAGCAGCATCAAGCTAATACTATCACACAGAGGTTTGCTGAATGCTAACAGATTCTCATGTATTATACATATTTCTGCTTATGTCTAAATCATGGAGGCTGAATGACTAAACTCACCAGCCTTCAAGAGAAATTTTTATTTTTGATTCCGGTTTCACGCACATATACTCATGAGTTTAAGATAAGATGAAATTTTAGAAAAAAAAGAAAGCTAAACTGGATATCAGAAAACTTAGACTATAGTCAAAATTCTAGCAGTGAGTAGTTTTCTAACCGAAGCCATTTAAAAAGCTTCTATTTAATAATTTCATTGGAAAATTTGAGGAAATTAAACTATATTATCTCTAGGATTTCAGTCAGTTATGAAAATGCATCTATTTGCCTAATAATTTGTGATGTTCTTTCTACCTAATTCAGAAATAATCAAGCAATTAAGAAGGAATTATTGTCTGCAAATACATGTTTTCTCCCTTCTCACACCCTTCCATGCCCCAAACAACTTATTTTATACTATAAATAACATTATAGCAAGGATGTGTTGATTTCATAGTTCGAGTAATTAAAAAATCAGCCAGAAATTATTGATGTGAAATTGTAAATGGAGTAGATTAAAAAATTGCTAAGGTCAGGAATATTCTTTAAATGTTTTAAAATAATTATAACACGTTTCTTTAAAAGGTCATGGTTATTTTATTGCAACTAGAATGGATGTTAGCCATCCTCTCTATTGTCCTGATCAGTAAAATTAATGTAAAGGTAACTTAATTAAAATGATTGAGAATTATCTTAAAATTGGAGAGCATACTTAAAGAATGGACACATAATATTAACATATTTTGTGTTTTTAAAAGCACATTTCCAATTTAGTAGACAATTATTTTAAAATAACAAAAAAGCAGAGTGCATAATTAAAAGAAAAGAAATGGCTTTTGTAGACATAATTGCTTTGCATTTTAGACCTTTCTTGTTAGCTCTGATTTATTCTATTTTGTATCTTTGAGGTATGACTATGAAGTTCAAGTAAAATTAGATAAATAATATGTAAAACTTTAAGAATATTAAACTCACTTTCTATTGAATTCACTAAAAGATACTAAAAATTAGTAATGACTAGAGTTATACATATAAAACCCAAACAAAACACATTTTTAGCAATGATTTTAAAATGCCATTAAACAAATGGACATATAAAATAATATTAATGAATAATATTGCTCAATAGAAAAAAAATGTTTATTTCCTTACTGAGTAGATAGGTTTACCCTTTTGGAGAGTCAGAAAAGCAGTGGTAGGGTAGAGTGGAATGTGGAAAGATCTGCAAGCACTAATGGGACAACTAGTATCAAATGAATTTCCTGTTCACTAAAAAATTTTAGATGATGAAAATTCTGACTTAGATTTTCTTATTAATTCATAAC
This sequence comes from Homo sapiens, assembly GCF_000001405.40. Taxonomy (NCBI): domain Eukaryota; kingdom Metazoa; phylum Chordata; class Mammalia; order Primates; family Hominidae; genus Homo; species Homo sapiens. The sequence continues at coordinate 22,217,997 of NC_000005.10, forward strand.
TATTTAACTATATATTTAATTATTTAACAAGTTATTTCTACCACTAAATACCTATTAGAATAGTTAAAATCAAAAAGAAAAAAAACTCTCATTACGTCAAGTGTCAACAATGATGTGAAAAACCTATAACCCTAAAACACTGTTCATGGGAATATAAAAGGATGCAATCACTCTAAAATACATTGTGGTAGTTTTTTAAAAAGTTAAACGTATGCCTATCGTGTGATGCAGCCATCTCGCTCTGAAGTATTCACTCCAAAGAAAAAAAAGCATATTTCCATTCAAACAACTAGACACAAATGACTGATTAGTCACAATGGCTCCAAACTGGGGAAAAAAAAGTCCGTCAACAGGTGAGTGAATAAACTGTGGTACACTCATAGAATGGAATACTTCTTGGTAATTAAAAGTAGGCAACTACTAGTACACTTAACAACTGGACCACAAAATGATTATGCTGATATAAAACAAGCCAGAAACAAATACATTACTAATATATAATTACATTTCTGTAGAATTAAAAAATATGGAAATTTATCTGTAATGACAGAAAACAGGTAACTGGTTGGAGGTGAATGAAGTTGGAATGAGAAATTGCAGAGGTCACAAGAAAACCCTTGGGACAATGGAAATATTCAGTGTCTTGATTATGATGGTGGCTTCACAGGTGTATATATGTGTCAAAACCCATCTAATTTGCAAGTTAAATATGTGCAGTTTACTGTATATAAATTATACCTCAATAAAGTTGCACAAAACCCTCACATCTTCCTCATTTCTTCTTTAATAAAACAGAATCACAATTAAATGATTAATAACAGATTATGTCCATAATAACAATCTATATGCCTTTAATTCTGATTTCTATTTTCTAAAGAAACCGCATCGAAGATGGAATAAAATCACCTACTTTATATTTCTAACCGTTTCTTAAATTGTATACAGCATTTCCCATTCAATCATATTTTAAGACAACTTTAAACTTAATGTCCTAGTATCTATCCAGATAATAGTTCAGTAAAATTTTATATAGGGAAATAAGGTGCCATTTCAAATCAAACAATGATGGCTGTGAAATGCTTAATTACCTTTTGACATACATATATCATTGTCCATTTGTTCTTAGCTTCTCCATAATGTGTATGGAAATATTACTCTAGCCTATCTTCAGCATCTATGACACCGCAGGTGACAATAAATTACGAGAAATTATGGGGCTTTCTCAACCTCTAAATGCATTTGACAGGCATGAAGATGAAAATACCTTCTATAACATCATAAAGATCATATTGTTACAGAGTGGCTCTAAACGGATCTTCCTCTTATTATTTACTTATTTACGAAATCAAACTTTTTCTTTGGATTTCATGGTGACTCTATTAACCTCTGAATACCATATTTCATTCTCCTCTCAGTTATACTGACTGTAATACCCAGTTTCCTCTCATGTCAACTTGCTCTTTTTCACTCTCAGCAAAAGTCAATAATTTGCTGCCACATCATAAGGAATAGGTGACTGCTATCTGCCTTGCTGACTTTATTTCCCTTATTAAAATAATTTAAACTCTCTGCAGTAATACAGAGTTTTAACATATATCAGACTGTTGGTGAGCAGTCTGAAATAACACCTTTACTACCTTCTGTACATCAAATATATAGATTTCAGTTTTTGTAGTAATGGTAAAATAATGGTAAAAATATCAGAGATTTGGGTAGTTCACTGCCTAGGATTGCAATGACACACCAGCAAAGAGCAATTATGAATCCTTGGGCTCGTTGCTTCACATTTGCTTGAGTTTTCTCAGATGAAAAAAGGTGATAAAATAGTATGAAATGAATTAGTGCAGATGGAGTAGTAAGATTAAATGAGTTAGTAGATACACACTAAGAAGATAACTCACAAATGAGCTACCAGCTATAATTATACCAGCTATAATTTTTAGTTAAAATGAACAACATATAAACTATGTATACCCCCAAATAAAACTTTGTTTAAATTGTAATGATTATGTCCAATTGGATGCAGGCTTAATGTATATCACCATTGTCTACATCATGAATCCGTAAGGATGTTTCTACTAAAAAGGTAAAAAATGATACCATATGTTTTTAGAAGGAATGTTAAAAATATAATAACAAAGTGCTGATGGACATATACAGTGCTATATCTCAGGAGAGCAACATTGACATTTGTAATACAATGGCAAGTGTTTGTACATGCGTATGTGTGTGTGCATGTACATAAATTGCATAAATTGGGTGATTCTACAGATGTTATTGAGAAAATATTGTGCATTGCATCATTATTTATAATAGTGAGATACTGAAAACACTAATGCATTTTATTGATTAGACATAAATATGAAAGTCCCATAAATGAATGCATCTATCATGTTTTAGAAATATATTTTTGACATATAAATTTTCACATTATTTTTATAAAAAAGTAGATTACATCCCAACATAAGCCTGTTTATATATACATTTTTAAAGGAAGATTATTCATCATGAGAAACTAAATTTTTTTTTCTTGATTGGCATTGTTATTTTGGTGGTTGAGTGGTCATTTCTTCCTTGTTTATAAGAAGTGTAAGCTTGAGAAAGGGATAATTTTTCTTTAATTTATCTCTTCTAATTCCAATGCTTTTCTGCTTTGTATATATGTTTATATATACAAAGGAAGAGGAGGATAAAATTTAGATAGCTACATAAAATTGAGGTTTAAATATTGTGAATTAAAAAGATACCTGACTTCATTCAAGGTGCATACTGATTCTCTCACAGATGAATTTCAAATGTCATTGGTGGTTGCATGAACAGAAATAGTGCAGTACCAATGCCTTAGGGTTGACTAGTGACACGAGCTATATACTCATTCCCACTTCATCCTTTCTATCAAAATGGGTACAAACCAAGAAAACTGATTCCAATCCCAGAGAGAAACAGGTCATCTACTGTGTAGAGTTATGGCTCTGAGAAGATACCTTCATCAAATACACACACACACACACAGACACACACAGACACACACACATATACATATTTTACTACTGGGCAAAGTGCCTCCCATGCTTTTGAATGATCTGTTTTTTACTGTTCGATGTATTTAGAGGGTCTTTTTATTAAAGGGATTGAATCTGGCATTCACGCTGGGCTTTGTAGTAGAAATAGACAAAAGGATTATTTTATTTTGTTTAGCTTTTAATCTGCTTATTCAAAACTTTATTACAAAATTTCAAATACGAAAACTAGAGGAAACAGTATTAATAGACACATATGTTCTTGTCACCCAACTTCATCATTTAGCTATTCTTGGCCAATGTGGTTCGTCTGTATTCTCTCACTTTGTCCACTGACCTTCCCTTAGATAATTTTGAAGCAGGTCCTAGACATTATATTATTCTATCTGTAAATGTGTCAGTGTTGTATAAATGATAAAGATAAAAACTGATTTCTTTCTTCTTTTTTGAAATGTATCCACAATATCTTTATCACATGGTGTTTTATTTTGCTTTGACTCTAAGTGACTTAATGGCACTCACCTTGAGAATTTAGTCTTGTAGAATCTGCTAGATTTATGAACTTGGGCTGCTTTCATGCTCCCGCTAGTAATATAAAATGTTGATATTATTTTATTGCAGAATTCACAAGGAGGTTAGCTGGCCAATAACATCTTAAATTGATTCCAGCAGCTGCTACCCCCATCCCCCATGTCCTATTGATAGTGGTCAAAAACAACATCTAAAGATATATTATTTATTATAAAGCTTTAATAATTGATATGTCACTCATTTGATCAAAAGAAACTTCAATAGTCCCCAGTTGCTTATTGGATAAAAATGTAAATTTGTTGTATATAATTCAAAATTCTCCTTGATCTGCCTGTAAAGTGATTTCCTACAATTTCAAAGATGAAAGCTGGTCTTTTTACTTTAATTGTTATCAGAATATAATTTTTCAGTGTCTCAGTTTTTATTTCTGAAGCTTGCCTGACTTCTTCCCAAACTCCAATATGTGTTTAAGTACAAGGACCTATACTATTTGATGGCTCTTACAATGCTTAATGTAAGTACTGGATATAAAATAGTCACTTAGTAAATATTAGCTGAGCAAATGGTATAATGCCCTATTGAACAAAGTATTGGCTTTCTATAAATAACAGGTGTTTATCTGCTTCATCATTTTACTATTCTGTTTAAAAGCAGCACAGAAAAAACTCTTTGGGGAATTAGATTTCCAGATGCTTCTGCTCTGCTTAGGAATATGAAAAGCTATCACAATTTACCACACCGGAACTATTTTCATTTAGTAAAGTTCTCTCCAAGGAGCTACAAACCAAGGACCATTTATCTTTATCTCATGGAATTATTTTTCTTCTCTAAAGACCACGAATTAGGTTCTTGATTTCTGGCAGAAAACACTAGTCAGTTTGAGGTGCCTTTTTATGTTGCCATATTTTATAATGACAAGCCAACTTTTCAATTTAATTAATGCTTTTCAATCTCACTGAATTTGTACTCTTTTTCACTTAAAGAATGAGTTATTTTTTTCTTTTCTAAAATTGTCATTTTATTTTTTATATATTCTAAACTCTTATGGACATGAAAATATCAAAATCATATATTATTAATAAACATTTCTTGACAAAATTAATATTTCATAATTTATATCTTCATTTATAATTAAAGCATACAATTTATTATATTAATGACAGGACAAACATACTTTCAGTTGGTTGTAGGATGATGGATTGTGGTAAAACTAAGTTGCTATACTCTACTTTTACTAGCTTTAATTAAGAAAAAAATTAGATAATTAAGAAACTCACTCTAAAGCAAGATGAGTTAGTAATAATTTAAATGCATAAAAATTCCAATAAGAACAAGAGTAACCCTTTTGTAACTAATCTGAAGTAGTTCTAATTATTCAAGAATTATTACAGTGCAAACTTTTGTTTCATTTCCAATACTTATATTTAATATGTTTTTTTTTCTGATGAACTTGAATTGCTTTTAAAGGAGCAACTTGAGAGAAAAATTCAAGCTGTTCTGAATTGAAGGTTTACATATCATTATTAAGTGGACGTCTTAGCTAAGGGTCTCTATAAAGACTGCCCTCAGAATCTTTTAGTTCAGTGTATTTTAGAAGAGTTAGGGAAATAGGCTGCTTCAAAGCAACACATGTGTTAAAGTTCTGATGTTTTGGGGATTAATCCTTAATGCTAAGCAGGTCTGCAGTTTGGTAGCAAGCATGAATGACTCATGGACGCAAATGAGTCCTGAAGCTGACTGAAGTCAAGGTGTCTGTCAAGTTGCTCTATAATGAGAGCTGGCATAATCTCTTGCGCATATAGAAGACATCAAGAAAAAACAGGTTGATCACAGTCTAAGAAAAAGATGTGTTTGATTTAGTCTAAAAGGGTCAGCCTTATTAGGAATTTTTGCTGGTTTGGTTCACAGATGATGCAAGCCTAGGAAGGGGCTGCACCATTAAGTCAGTGACCTAATCGATGATGGGAACATTCAGTAAAAAGATTTTATGGTTAAGTTTTACATTAGACATCCCCACTGTTGCTGTTATGCAAGTGAGATTTACAAAATGCATACAGGACTTGAGGCATTCTTATGACAGGAGATCTGTTCTAATCTAGAGTAGGATTGGCCCACCTAAGCCTCCATGCAGTTGCTCCTCAGCGTTCTCAGAATATTGGGGAGCAGATTAAGTCAGAAGAAGGCAGCATCATTAGTGTAGGAGAGGACTGTGAAAAGCTGCTGTACCTATGAAAGCTGGGCCGCGAGACAGTATCCTGGTGATAAACAACATGGTGCCCAACGAATAGAGCATGGTCAGGGTTGAGTATTATCAGGGCAATTGAGCCACAAAGAAGGTTAATCCCATAAGAAAGACATTCTAGAAGAAACCAGGCATTATCAGAAAATGTATCACTGTCACTGAGCAATAGAGGCAGATTTCCAGAAGAGAGGCAGGTAGGAAATAATTGGGAACACAGGGATCCTGCCAACAGCTACTCAGCAGAGCCTCAATTCTTGCACACAAGTGAGTAATTGAAAGTTTTCTAGGTAGAGTAACCTTAATTATCTTAGGGCAACTTTCCGTAAATTAAGTGTTAGGAAGTGCCTTATCTGGAACAGAAAACCAGCAACTCTTCTAGATCCTGCTCTTTGAAGTCAAACCCTACAGGCACTCTGATTCCATAACATGTTCTTTTTATACTGTTATGTACTTTTCAAAGAGATTTTGCACACATTATTTCCTTTGAGAATGGAAGTAGTACTTAAGGTGAGCAAAATCATATTATGTCCATTTTACTGACAAATTGAGGCTAACATAAATTATGATATGAACAAACACAAATTCTGACCTCAGGCAGAAAAGAATCAGGTGCATCCTGCATGAGGTCACTTGGATAATAATTTTAAAAACGATAAACTGATCCCCCATTGTTCTGTTCTTTTGTTGTAGATGTTGACAAACTTTAGTTTTAAAGGGCAAGGTGAAAATGTTTTAGAATTTGAGGCAAAAAAGGCAGAATTGAGGATACTATGTAGGTACGTATGTAGTTTTTAAAAATGTAGCCATTGAAATATGTAACATCTTTCTTTGTGAGTCATATAAAAACAGGCAGATAGTCATATTTGACCTATGGGCCACAATTTATCAACTCTGAACTATAGCAGTACTGACTTGAGTCAGTTGTCGGCAATATCAATTTAATTTAACAGTGATTAGTTGAATAGTACATCTCTTTTCCTCAATTAAGTTGCATTTTGTGTATAAAAAACTTACACGAGTTTTGATTTACACATAAAAATTATTATAACAAACTTAAAATATTTTATTCATAAAATAACATATTATATATTAAAAAAAGTATAAAATATTTTCCCAAAAGTGTATCTCTAAACTTTATATACATTAATGTGTTTATTTCAGTTAAAAACCTGTCAAATGCAAACCCTTTCAAAAAGAACTTTCTCATGACTCACAGTAAAATTGATTTATATTTATTTTTTTCTCCATAGCTAAAATTTGTGGGTTGAAATAATGCCATAATATATCTCATAGCTTTTCCAAAAATCGACCAAAGCCACTCAGATAGCTGAAATCTTTACCATAACGATTCGGTTGCACCCTCTGTCTGTGACATTCCCAGACAATGATGACTTTGTGACAATTTTATTGACTATATTTTCTTAGAATGATGTAGAAAGGATGCTAACGTTATAAATATACAATAGCATAGCTCATTAACATGTGTTTTCCTCAGAAAGAATTGGACCTAAATATGTAAGCTTTGGAAAAATGTTTTGTATTCAGATATAAAGGGAGATAAGTCATTTTGTGCTTCCCAGTTTTCCAGGCTTTCATAGTCTCCCTGGATAAATGATGAATTGAAGACAATGTCAGCAATTATTGCTAATACAACTGAAATGACATTAAAAATCACAAAAAATGGTTAGAACTTTGCCACAAGCTTTGAATATTTTTTATTTTGAAAATTTTAAGACAATCCTACTGTTTTTCAGAGAAACGTTTATTGATGAAACATTTTTGTAGATAAATGGATAACCTTTTCTTTCTCCTCTTATTTTTACTCTTCTAAATTACCTAGAGAAAAGAAAGTGTCTATTTGGCATGCTTTGGTTATGATATGTGAATTGCAGTGATCTTGGGAAGGCTTGAATTTAGGGTCCATGTGAAAAACAACAGATTCACCTTAAGAATCAGGCCAACCATAAAAGTTGGGCCTTTTTCTCTGGGCAATCCCAGTTAAGGCACCTATACACTCACTTGATTAAAGATTTAAGAAAACTTTCTGGAAAATTCCCAAAGGGAAAGTGAATCATTTATAATGTTAACATTAAATGCACAGTGGTTGGCCTCTAACAATAACAACAACAACAACAGCAGCAACAACAAAAACTAAACATCTGGGGATCAGGAGTATAACATGAAACAGAATATGGAATAACAACATCAGACATAGAATATTCATGACCTTCAGTTTGGAAAAAAGAAGCTAGACGCCCCCTTTAGCTACTTTCCCACAGTCTTCCCTTTTCTTTTTTTTAACATTTATGTAGAAGTTCAAGAGTTTTCACAACTGAGTAGAGCAGCATGAAATACAAGTGTAAAGATATACTCTGCAAGGGCGGACCTCTCTATTCTCGGTATCCTGTCTGCGTTTGTGGGAGGCAGAATCCTAAGATGATCCCAATGACCCTCCCCCTTGGATGACAGCAAAGGAATTTTTGCAGATGTAATTAAGGTTATGGTTGATCATAAATAGGGAGATTATCCTGGTAGTCCTAATTTAATTTAATGCACCCTATAAAAACAGTGTTTTCTCTAGTTGGGGGCAGATGAGCAAGTCAAAGATTTGAAACAAGAGGGGATGCCACTGGCTTAAATATGGATGGTGGGGGGAAGAACCAGAAAGTAACCTGGTACTATCTGAGAGAGACTCCAAGCTGACAGCAAGCAGGAGAATGTGGACCTCTGAGATCTTATAACCCTAGAAGCTTAATTCTGCTGATAACCTGAATAAGCTTGGAAGCTGATTCTTCACTAGAGCTCTGACTTCAATATTTTGATAGCTCAATCAAAGAGAAATGTCAGATAACAAATGGGTGTCCCATTATGCCACAGAGTTTGTAGTAACGTGTTACACAGCTTAAGGAAATGAACACCGTGTCCACTGTAAGACATTTGAGTTTCTCCAGCATGCAGAACACATTTTCTTTCTTGTTGTATCACAAATGTTTAGCATAGTATCCAGCACATAATATATAAATGTATATTGGTTAATTATGTGAATGCAGGGGATGCCACAAAGGGCCTTAATCTCTGTGCTTTCACGGCTTAGAACTGGCCTCTTTCTTCACTTTTTGTTATATGTTGCCTCAATATAATGGAATATGTTGTCTCAGTATAAACAAGAGGGGATGCCACTTGAACAAAGAGTAAGATAGAGTACTCCCAGTTTTTAAGATAATATTCATAGATGATGTTTCAGCAATACCACGTGTATTCTTATTCCATTTTAATTTTTGGCGTGGGAAAAATTGTACAAGTTAACACGTCTGGATTCATCAGGACTAGGGAAATTATGATAATATAGAAAGACTTCCTAATTGCATGACACTGGATCACGGAGGAACTAGACAGACACAGAATGGAGTTGTCCAGAAGTCTGGGTGCTCTTCAATTTGTATTAATCCCCATCTGGTAAGTGTTCTACCATAATGAAGGAGACAAAATATATATAACGAAGGAAGTGGAAGGGGGTCACTAGATACTCAGAGATCCCAAGGGTATTGAATCAGATAAATCAGTTTTCACAGATAAATAAAGTCCCACATAAGTTGTCTTTTAAGATAGAAACATGTCAATAATTACTCAATTTTGAACACTTGGCAAATAATTTGGCCAATAATTTGTTTGATTTTTTCAGGGCTTTCCCCAGTATTTCTTAAGGTTGATTAATTCACAAATTACTTATAGTGGGAACTTTGAAGAGCTGCTACACTTGAAACCTTAGCTAGTATAATTTAGATCCCTTGAGAAAATTATCTTGCATGAGAAACAGGGCATCTCAGTGCAACAGACCTTCTCTACAATTATTTATAATATATTCTCTTTCATATGTTCAAAACACTGGGAAACTTCAAAGATATTAAAACAAAACCTGTGGAAAGTGTGTGATTCTCTAGTCCTCCAGTTGCCTGCATTCACTTCCCAACCTTAACACTTCAGTGGCCATAATGGCGCCAGGAGGCTGTGTCTGAAACAAGAATCCCTTCCTCATTTGGAAACAGAGTAATTCCAATGTGGCGACATGGCACACTTGGAAATGTTTTCGTATGTAATGTGAATGCTTTCGGATTGTCTTAGATCAGGATGGAGCTCACGTTCATCACAATTCCACACCTGTCACTTTTTCCATAGGCAGTGCAGATTTAGACAGTGCTGGGATTTACTCAAGTTTCAGCTTTGCTATTTAATAACTGCAAACTTGGGATAAGTGATTTCACTTCTCCAAATGTAAGTTTTAAAATTTGTAAAATGAGGATATATCAGTAACTACATTTAGAATATTTATGAAGACAAAATGAGCTAATTTCAGTAAGGCATTCAAGATCGTACTATTAACACTTAGTTATTAATAATGGTACCGATTATTTACTAATATTATTAATAATATAGCTTTACTAATTAGCAATATTATTATAAAACATAGATGCAAATACAAAATATTTGAAAAAGACATTGGCCAAATATAACACCGTAGCAGCATATGGTATGTTCATATGCCACCTACCACAAATTTCAGACCATGGTGTGTGTATAAGTGTTACTTTTCCCCTGCTATTTAATAAGACTATGAAGCTTTGCATAATTTTTTTGTAACTATGTTAACATTTAGTAGTGGATAAAATATGTTTCTAATGAAAAACTTCAGATTACCCCTCTGTATATAAATGTTTTCCTTTTCAGTTCTGACAAAAATATGTAAATAGATAAAGAACTCATGTTTTATAAAAGAATACTATAAATCATTTACTTTTCTGACATCTGATAGTCAAGAAAGGAATTCAGCTTGATACCAAGTAGTATGTATTTTTCTCATGAGACTGAGGAATTCTGTTCTGCTCTCATTAATGAAAACACGAGCATGATTCTAATTAGCCTGAATGTGCCCTGGAAAAGCATAAATCCCTTAATCAGATATGAGAGAGGAAGGCTGGTCACCACCTCTAAATGCCAAATTTATTATGTTCTAAAAAAAATTTATTCTTTCTTCTAATTAAAATTATAGCCTCCATAATGAACATAACATAATTAAAGATAAAATAAATTAATCAAAGAAGCACTTTTTGTTTCACTACATTAAAAACCTATTCTAATAGTTATATTAATAAACCTGCTCTTACATCTCCTCGGAAGGTGTTGTTAATAATTACAGGTACTATAATTGTTCAAGTGAGTAGATATCCTCCCTTCAAGTGACTATATCTCCAACCAAAGCCACTAAAATACTTTGAAGAATTTCACACTGTCAAATTCTTAGTAGCAATTATCCCAACATGCACTCCCAGTAAATTTACAAATCCTTTTTCTTTTTTTTTTTTTAGTATATTCCACTGTCAGTGTGAGGAAATTTCTCCTTTTTAGTAATGGTACTTAAGCTTGCTACCAAAATCATTTATATTATGATGCCTTTCATTATCATTCTTTTGGAGTAGAGATGGATACTTATACCCATTCTTCTATTTAATCATCTTAATATCACTTCTAAAATCAAGTACATATGCAATTTACTTTATTTTTTCTGCCTTTTACAAAAAAAAAATGACTAGACATTAAGAATAACATAGGATTTGGGGCCTTGTTACTCCAGCCTGGGCGACAGAGCAAGACTCCGTCTCAAAAAAAAAAAAAAAAAGATTTTGAGCCTTGCTGGCATAATGCTGAAAAGGCACAAAAGTAAATTCAAATCATGGAAATTAGATGAATGCTTCAGGTAGATTGCCAATCATTCGGTTATTTGGTAAAAGATTATGTATTGTAATGATGTTTATGACATCAGGAAAGTAACTTCCCCTTAACCTGTAAACTTTCGAGTACTTTTCTCCAAATGATTCTAGGCCATCATTTTTTGATTCTTTAGGAACTTTGATTTACCTCAAATTTCATGCCCACATCTCAAATGCGTGTCCTTGTAGGGTATACCATGTTCCATCTGCAGTTTCTCCTGCACTCCGGATACTCTGTATTTAATGTGCTTTGAGTCAATAATCCCAGAGTCTTGAAGCCAGAGTAGGTGACCTTTTCTAATTGATACACACACACACACACACACAGGGTAGACACTTACACATTACTTTATGTAATAAAGTACTTGTTACTTTTTTTATCTTTCCAGGTGACACTGTGAAGATTATTAAATCAGTGAAAAATGACGTCTATTAATAAATAGTGAGAGTAGGACTACGCTGCTATAAAGAAATACTGATTTAGGAAAATTGATTTGAGACAATTATTTGGCAATTTAAAAATGTAAAAATACATAGTTCAACAGCATATAGGTGTTTTGTATGAAAAGCTCAATTTGTTAGTAAGTGTATGCAAACAACCCTACATCTGCCCACTCCCCAACATATTCACCAAAAAAAGAAAAATTGAAAGGAGACAAACTACTACTTTTTATTCCGCACGTTTTAAGGACAAAAGGAAAATTACTGACAAGCTGGGAAAGGAAGCTTATTTATGACTACTTTCCAGTACCACACAATACATAATATCATTATTTTTCTGGTATCCTTAGTGTTACATAAGAACTGGGTAGATTGCCCTGTTCATATTCTCACCACTGCCATTCACAACAAAATGTCTTCATGTCAAACGAGTCTTTGTTTTGTTTGCAATTTATTGTCAAAAAAAGAGATGTCATAATTTTTTTTTTTTTTTTTTGACAGAGTCTCTCTCTGTTGCCCAGGCTGGAGTGCAGTGGCATGATCTTGACTCACGGCAACCTCCACCTCCCGGTTTAAGCGATTCTCCTGCCCCAGCCTCCCGAGTAGTTGGGACTACAGGTGCACGCCACCATGCCCAGCTAATTTTTGTATTTTTAATAGAGACGGGGTTTCACTGTGTTGGCCAGAATGGTGTCGACCTCTTGACCTCATGATCTGCCTGCCTTGACCTCCCAAAGTGCTGGGATTACAGTTGTGAGCCACCTTGCCCAGCCCATAATTCTTTAATCTCCAAGATGATGCATGGAGGAAGAAGTTACAAAGCATTTGCCCATCTCCTCTACTTCCTCCACCCTATTGTAAGAAAAGGGTATAATTCTAACTTATTATGTTTATCAGGCCTACGAATGATGAAGATGAAGGAATAGCAGATAGTAAGTCACACTAACATGGTCACATTAGGGTGTTATTTTACCGTTTTCAAATCACAATGCCATATTCTTGTGACTTAAATTGCAATGTGCACAGAATATGGAGAAATAGGACTATATTCTTATGCCAATGATTCTGATGACACTGGCAATTGTATTAAAAAATAGAACCTATTTTATGACAATCATGAAACTTTAATCTTCAGTTCCTCTTTACATTCTATTTTAATGTGTATTTGTGTTATATCAGTATGCAACAGAGTTATCTAAAATTTAACAATAAAGAGAAAAATTCCCAGTTTACAATAGGGATTATAACTTATAAATTAGACAAAGGATTTTGAATTAAACCACATATATTGGCTCAAATTTATTCCCACCTCTGTGGAGTGAGATATTATTAAGCACAGATTACAGAGAATTTATGAAGAATAACTATGGTTTTCTTAATTATTTTAATGATTATTTCCTTCTTTCTAATTTAATGGGTATTCAACACACTGTTCATTAGGGGATTTTATGTTTAATACTACTAATAAAATTAAATGAAAAAGATATATGGTACCATTAAAGTAGCAAGTAAAAAAAATGCTAGTGCCAAAATAACTCTTTATTTAGTAGGTACCAAGAGATACAAATGAAAATCATATTTCATGAGGTAACTCTTCTATTGAAAACTATTAAACTATGAGGCATATTTATCTCTTCCTCCCTGTAGAGGTATAAACACAAAGCATGTTTCTAAATCATAAATTATACTCTTCATGGGATATTAAAAATGACCTCCAAATAAACAGAACACAAAAACTGCAAGAATTCCAAAGCTTTACCATATATGAAAACAAAACTTTTATCTCAACTGCTCAAATTGCAATGATAAAATCAACCATCATTATGAATGAATTATCTATATAAAAATCTAAGTAATTACTAAATAAAATCTTATTTCATAGAAAGTTATGTATGAAATGCAATAAAGAATTTACATTGTGCATGAAGAAACAGACACATTTCTTGGAGAAGAAAGAGCATAAACAAGAATACAACTATTTTCGAAGATATTTTATACATTGCCTAAAATATTAATGAAGGTTTTTTTATAGTAGCCACTTAAATATAATCTATAAGCATTAGTCATTTACATTCTTAAGGATCACAGAAATATGCTGTTTTATCACATTTCATATATAAGTTTCTATTAAATAACTAAAAGGAAAATTTACTATTTTATTTTCTATTTGTTATTCGTGTGCTTAGTTTGTATTTAATCTTAATAAATATATAAAAACAATTTTCTTGGATTTGGAAACAATAGAAAACCCCTCCTAAAAATTTTAAACGTTTTCCTAAGAACGATATGTAACAATATGATTTTTTTAAAAGCTGTTTTGAAGTATTTCTTAGATGAGCTTGAAAGTAATTTTGAGTTGTAAAACCATGTGAGTATTATGCCTTCTAAAAATAATGTTAAAATAAAAATTTTCAGAACTAAGTGATAAAAAGTATTTAGTACATTTACTTTAAATGATTGTATTTCTTACTAATAACTGCATAATTAACACAGAATCATTGCATCTAGCAACGATCTTTGGGATGACATCAATGGTGTCAAAAGAGTAGTTATTAAGAAAATATCACAAATCTTTAATTCTGACTGTTCAATGAAATGATTTGGTATTGAAATATGGTACTAGACAAGATTATTTTAATTTCCAGAAGATTCTAACACACTGAAAAAAAATACTTCATCATCATAGTTGAGAAGAAAGCTTCTCTCTCTTTCTCTCTGTGTCTAACTTTTAGCACTTATAAGCAGTTTTTAATAATGATGAAATTTAACTTTCAAAACTTTTTCTTTTATTCATTCTCTCTAAGAAATGTACTCTTTGTCCCAAGTTGCTAAAGTTTTCTCCTGTTCTCATTTAAATATATATATATTTATATATATATTTTTTCTTTATTATATATTTTCTATATATATTTTTTCTCTCTCATTGGATTGCTTTTGTGCCTTTGTAGAGAATCGAATAACCATATAATTGTCGGTCTATGTCTGGGCTTGGTGTGCTAGTCTTTTGATATATTTGTATGTCTTCACTCAAACACTATACTGTCTTGATTATTATAGCTTTACCTTTACTATTACTTTGCTATTTTAAAAGATTACTTTTAATGATTTTAAAGGTTATTATCAACATTCTAAAGCCTTTGGATTTCCACACACATTTGCAAATCCACTTGTCAATTCATAAACGTAATTCTGCTGGAACTATAATCAGAATTGCGTTGATCTATAGATCAATTTAGTAAGAATGGACATATTAACAATATTGAGTTTTTCCAAAATAAACTGATCATAGATACATAGACAAGCAAAAAAAATATATATATATAGTTAAATTTCTACTATAAGTAGTATCCGTATAATTCTGTATGTGACTATTTTATATGAGATTTAGGTACCATGGAGGATGGCTAAAAGGAAATCTTGCTCATGTAAAAGGCCCTGAATGTTTCAAACAAAGTCTAACTTATTGGTTTGCTCCTTTGTCCAGTAAACTGGAAGCATCATCTCAAGCTCACAGTTTACTAATAAAAATGTCATCAGTAAGTCAATGTTACTGCTTCTTTACTGTTTGATATAAAAATAAAACAATATTAATGTGAGTGATCAAACACCAAATGTCATTTCTTCAGAGTCAGAATGGTGTTTTATAGAGAGATTCTCCTAAGGTACAGTATTTTTGAACAACAGGAACAGCAGCATTTTATCAGTGCTATGGCTATATTTTTGATAGTGAATGATATAAAGTTGGACAAAGGAAACTAGATAAGGCCTATAAATTCCAAGACAACACACAGAAATGTGACTTGTATTTTACAGAAGTTTAGTTGGCACTAAATTGGTTGACACTTTTATGTCCCATAGTCACAGTTTGCCCACCTTGACGTGCCACCCAAGTGACAGGATTCCACTAATAGAAATAATGATCAATGCATAGTCCCAATAGTGCAATTTATTATTAACTTATTATTATGATCAATTTGAATTAGTTTATATAAAACAAAGGGCTTATGTGTACATTTTCAAAGTCTGACATGGAAAAATTATGAAGGAAGTAAAAAATACTATGACAGTTTTGAATTTTCCTCTTTTTAAAAAAATAAATCTATAGGCTTTCAAACTCATTTGTCTGCAAATATCTTTTTAAATATCACTTTTTGAATATCTAGTTAAATAATGCTTACAACATAGTAAACATAAAAATGAAACAATAAAACAAAACATACAGAGGGAGTTATACCTATACTGCCTGATATGGTTTGGCTGTGTCCCCACCCAAATCTCAACCTGAATTGAGCTCCCAGAATTCCCACGTGTTGTGGGAAGGACCTGGAAAGGGGGGCGTAATTGAATCATGGGGGCCAGTCTTTCCTGTGGTACTCTCATGACTGTGAACAAGTCTCACAAGATCTGATGGTTGTATCAGGGATTTCTGCTTTTGTTTCTTTCTTATTTTCTCCTACTGCTGCCATGTCAAAAGTGCCTTTCACCTCCCACTATGATTCTGAGGCCTCCCCAGCCATGTGGACCTGTAAGTCCAATTAAACATCTTTTTCTTCTCAGTCTTGGGTATGTGGGGTTTTTTTTGTTTTGCTTTTTTTTTTTTCAGCAGCATGAAAATGCACTAATACACTGCCTTAGAGCTATATCTATCCATATATCTATTTTCTATGTATATATCTTTATATGTGAATGTGCATATATATATTTATGTATGTATGTGTGTGTAGATATTTATCTGTCTATCCATCTCTCCATTTACGTTTATCTATATTTTGCTTTTCTAAGAAATTCACTAAACTCAGATGCCCATAAAACACACAAATGTCAATATAAAACAGAAAATCATAAATTAAAAATACAAACAACTTAGAATACAATAATTTCCTTCCATTTGAAAGACAGATGGACTTTTTTTTTTACTAAACAAATGTTTGTACAAACCAACAAAGTCCCACAATTCAATTAAAAACCTGATACAAGAATTATACAGTTAGTTCATGGTGTGTGAGTGAGGCACATCCAAAATAGCTTACAAGCATATGAAATAATGTTTGACTATCGTAAAGAAATAATATCTTATTATTTACACATACTTGAATTTTATATCATCATCTTGTTTATATGCTGTGTGATTTGATTTCACTTGTCTCCTGACACTTGAAACCTCACTTATAAATTGTGAAGGACAAATAAATGTAAGCATGTATACTAGGTCGAAATATATCAGTACAATGTGGAATATCATGTGATAATATATACAGTACACAGAAACAGATTGATAACATCAGTTAAAAAAACAAATTATACGGCCAGACACCGTGGCTCACGTCTCTATTACAGCACTTTGGGAGGCCAAGGCTGGGGGATCACTAGAGGTCAGGAATTCAAGACCATCCTGGCCAACATGGTGAAACCCTGTCTCTACCAAAACTATAAAAAATTAGGCAGGCGTGGTGTGGGCACCTGTAGTCCCAGATATTCGGGAGGCTGAGCAGGAAGAATCGCTTGAACTTGGGAGATGGAAGTTGTAGTGAGCTGAAATTGTGCCACTGCACTCCAGCCTGGGTGACAGAGAGAGACTGTTTCAAAAAAAAAAAAATCAGAAAACCAAAACAAAACAAATTATCTTATATAATATTCCTTCAGATAAACTTCTCTAGTAAACATTAATTTTGATATTATCTTTCTTATTTTAGAATACTACACTAGACTAAATAACAGCAGGTCTAAAGAACATATGGAAATAATATAAAAGAGTAGCAGAAAGAAAAATAAGGAAAAGTTCATACAGTCCTGCCTCACTTAACACTAGGGATATGTTCTGAGAACTTCATCGTTAGGCAATTTCTTCATTGGGTGAACATCACAGTGTGCACCACAGAAACCTAGACGGTGTAGCATACTACACACCTGGGCTATATGGTGTACTCTATTGCTTCTAGGTTACAGACACGAGCAGCATATTGCTGTACAGAATAATGTAGGCAATTGTAACACAATGACAAGTATTTGTGTATCCAAACATATCTAAATACAAAAAGGTACCGTAAAAATGCAGTAGAAAAGATTAAAAATGGCATACCTGTCTGCGGCACTTATTATGACTGGGGCTTGTAGAACTGAAATTTGCCCTGTGTGAGTAGTGTGTGAGCAGCGAATGAATATGAAGGCCTAGGCCATTACACATGGACTTCATAAACAACGTACATTTAGGCTATACTAAATGTATACTAAATATTCTTCTTCTTTAACCTTAGCTTACTGTAACATTTTTACTTTATAAACTTTTTCATTTTTTGAACTGTTTGACTCTTTTGCAATAACACTTAGCTTAAAACACAAACACATACAGCTGTACAAGAATATTTTATGTCCTTATTCTATTATCTTTTTCTATTTTTCAAGTTTTTCATTTTATTTTAAACTTTTGAAACTTTTTATTAAGAACTAAAACACAAGGCCAGGCACGGTGGCTCACACCTGTAATCCCGGCACTTTGGGAGGCCGAGGTGGGCAGATCACTTAAGGTCAGGAGTTTAAGACCAGCCTGGCCAACATGGTGAAACTCCATCTCTACTAAAAATACAAAAAACACACACAAAAAATTAGCTGGACATTCTAGCGCAGGCCTGTATTCCCAACTACTTGGGAGGCTGAGGCAGGAGAATTGCTTGAACCCGCGAGGCAGAGGTTGCAGTGAGCGAGATGGTGCCACTGCACGCCACTCTGGGCTATGGAGTGAGACTCTGTCTCAAAAATAAAACAAAACAAAAAGAACTGAGACACAAACATTAACCTAAACCTTCACCAGATCAGGATAATCAATTTCACCACCTTTCACCTCCACATCTTGGTCCACTGGAAGGTCTTCAGGGGCAGTAATATGCATGGAGCCATTGTCTCCTATAATAACAAAACCTTCTTCTGGAATACCTCCTGAAGGCCCTGCTTGAGGCTGTTTTATGGCTCTTTTTTTTTAATAATAGAAGGAATACATGCTAAAATAACAATAAAAAGTATAGTATAGTAAATATATAAACCAGTAGCATAGTCATTTATTATCCTTATTAAGTATTACGTACTGTATATAATTGTACGTGCAACACTTTTATAGGACTGGCATCACAGTTAGTTTGTTTACACCAGCAGCACCGCAAACAGGTGAGTCATGTGCACACTACAACATTCGAATTTTTCAGTTCCATTATGATTTTGTGGGACCACTGATGTCGATGTGGTCTGTCATTAACTGCAATGTTGTTATGTGGTGCATGACAGTATTGCCTTTGAGGAAAATTCTGGCTATCTGATTTTTCAAGTAATCTGCCCAAACTATTCCTCATTTTCACTTAAGTTTGTGTTTTGGTCTGAGTGTTTGTGTACCCCCAAATTCATACGTTAAAATCCTAATCCTCAAGGTGATGGCCTTTACAGGTTGGGCCTTTGGGAGGTAATTAAATCATGAGGGCAGACAAATGTGATGTGTCCTTATTACAAAGGCTCCAGAGGACTGCCTTACCATTCCTCCTTGTAAGGACATGGAAAGAGAGTGCCATCTATGAGAAATGGGCCCTTATTAGACTGAATTTGCCAGTGCCCAGCCTCCAGAACTAGGAGAAATAAAGGTTTGTTGTTTATAAGTTATCCAGTTTATGGTACTTTTGTTATAGCATCTTGAGCTGACTAAGACAGTTTGTCTTGTGAAAATTTAAGAGAGAAACAACTTATGAAACATTGTATCCATGAGGTGCATATAAATTTTAGACAGAAATCACTCTGGAACAGAAGATGAGGAAGCCATATGCTGAGCGTACCACTTCATAGCACCACGAGGCCTTGTTAATATACATACATTTTTTAATGGATTCTAATGTATTTTCCTCCATATGATGGCAAATGGTCTATAAAATTGTTCTTCTTAATTCTTGTATTTGTAGTGTAGACACAGCTAAAATTACCTCCAAGTTATGGCTAATATAATTTCTAAGCGATTGACCTTCTCTTCTCACTGGCACGTTTTGTATATTTGAATCTAATTGAACTAAACATAACAGAAAATTCAGGCATGGAGCCAGCATCTTTCTTGATTGACCCTGTTCTGAATGCCAACTCCTGAAGGAGCTTCAAGAACAGACCAACCCTCCAGGCAGTGTTTAAAATAGATTCTGCTCCTAAGCAGCACAGCACAGCTATACACCTGCTATAACGGAGAAGAGCTTCTCCAAGATGTTACATGTGTTTAACAGTAGGCAAACATTGCCATTTATCACCTCTATGGCATTTCCTGGTGGGGCTTGTGTAATACACTGAGTTTTCTTGGAGGAACCAGCTGGAGTATTGGTCAATCTATCTTTTTTCAGTGCTTGATAAGAATTCAAATGGATAATTCAAATGGATAAGAACTCAAATGGATAATGAACAATCTTGTAGTTTTACCTACCATTTTTACAATTATCACTGTAAAGAAAGTCTATAAGATTGCCTTTGAGCTCTGAAAGGAAGCCTGTAATCTAAAGCAAGTAAAGTTGTGGAAGACCTTACTATGAGAGCAAGTCTAAAAATGGGGCAGATCATGGAAAGAAAAGAAAAAGCAATGGAATGATTTTTTCCTTGTCAGTGCTGAGGTCAGGCAGGTAATAAAAACTGTTTTATCCAACATGTGTTGAGAATACTTTTGCAAATGTTAAAGTCAACATGGCTATAACAAGCCCAAGTTCTCCAGGAGGAATGCATGCATTTAAAATGGAATCAAAATTTATAGAGTACAATAATAAGAGCCCTCTTACTTACATTTTCATTTAATCACATGTATATGGCCATCTTGTCCATTTTGAGGTTGGGCTTTAGGGAAAGCTCCAAATAATGAGTAGGCTTAAGTATCAAATAATGTCCAACCTTTTAGACTTTAAAGAAGATTCTGAATACATTTCTTCTCAGTATAACTACATATTAAATCTAGACGTTAGGGAAAGAAACACATTTTTCTCCTGGGATCTCTTTAGAGAGTATCATTCAGTGAAATGTTAAATGACATATAAGAATTTCTAGTAATAAATATGATGGTTTTGTCTCAGCCTGGTTATAAGAAAGATGCACATTAATTATGAAAATTAGTAAAGCTGTTGACCCTTCCTTGGGCTGATGACTGCATAGTTCTGAAATGCATCTCTATCCCTAGAAAGGAAAGGAATGCTTACTTCTATAGCTTACTCTCTGTTTCAGAAGCATTGAGATTTCCTCTGGAAACTCCAGGGAAATTTCCCCAGAAATTCTAATTGACTGAAATTGAGCATAAGCCTATTCAAGAACCAATGGTTCTCCAGGAAATATAATTACTGTGAGACAAATTAATTTGAGAGATATGTATTGATAAGCATCCACTGAGGCATGGAGCCCTGTGGGGAAGCAAAGATTATTCAATAACATCAGAATTCTGTTAAAAAAAAAAGGGAGACTTGATGCTAAGCAGTATCTTCACACGTCTGCTACACTAAGATTTAAATGTTAAAATACATGAAAATTAAAATTATGATTGAAAGATTCACTGCATTTTAGGAGAAAAATACATAGTGAGATGTAACACTAAATAGAGGATAGGTGGATAGATTAGACAAATAGATGGATAGAGAGACATTTTATGGCTCTCATGGTTATAGGGAATTGTCGTTTAACGGTGTTGAGGAAATTAAACTGTAAAAGAAACATACTATTTCAGGTGGCAACAGTGAAGTGCCAGCATGATTATACTTCCAAATTACTATATCAAGTAGTGAACTAATCTATTATTAGAGGGTGTTGAGCTAGTTGGTATAAGATAAACAGAGTAACAGAAAAGAATAACACTTTTTTCCTTTTTATTAACCTTTTTATTTCCTTTTTGCTTTAACGGAAAACTAAGGATTAATGTGAGTAAATATGAAGGTAGCTCCCTCTACAATATTTTCTGCAGCATATCAAAACATCTTTCCCGGTACTTCTTCTTATAATCACTATATTCTCTTCCTTAGTATAAAATATTGTAGCATGTGCCTAAGAATTTGTTACAAATTACTTCCCCTCATTTTATAGATAGTTATATGTGCATTTCAAGATAATTCATTTTCTCATAGAAATTCAGACATCATTTTGAAATCTCTTAGCTCCAGAGTTAGCAGTATCCATTCTTTTTGCAATACTTAGATGCTTATGAAAATGATAAATGCTAATACTTATATAGTTATTTGTAAAACTGAGATATTGATCATCTTCATTCTTCTATTTAGACAACTGAATTATGACTGTTTCGACCAATACTGCTTTCATATCACAAAGTGAACATGAAAAAGATAATGTAGTGTAACTACTCTCATGTCCTTATGTTTTAATATGAGTACAAATGAAATACTAAAGGTCACCAGGCATGCGAGAAAGGAGGTAATTCTAAACCTGAAAGCCATAAACTAACAAACACACAAAAAAGTTTCCACAAGATTGCTGAAGAATGTAAGCAAAATTTGAATCATTTTTGGGAAGAGGACGGGCAAAAGAATACTTTGAAAGTAATTTTATTTACTTATTTAGAGACAGAATCTCGTTCCTTCGCCTAGGCTGGACTGCAATGGTGCGATCTCGGCTCACTGCAACCTCTGCCTCCCAGCTTCAACTGATTCTCCAGCCTCAGCTTCCTGAGTAGCTGGGATTACAGGCGCCTGCCACCATGCCGGGCTAATTTTTGTATTTTTAGTAGAGATAGGGTTTCACCATGTTGACCAGGCTGGTCTCAAACTCCTAACCTCAGGTGATCCGCCCTCCTCAGCCTCCCAAAGTGCTGGGATTACAGGCGTGAGCCACCGCCGCACCTGGCCGGATAGTAATTATTTTTAACAATTTGAGAGCAGTTATTTTTCACAAAGAAAAGTTATAATTAACATAGAAGAAAAAGCAGAAGACAGAGGAGAAAAGTAAAGTACAGAGGAAGAGGAGAAGGGCAAGGAAGGAGGAGGAGGAGAAGAGAAAGAATGGAGGAGAGGAACAGCTAGAGAATGGAAACAGAACACAATAGAATACACAGAACAGATAAGCATTTTGATGTGGTAAGGACGCATATTGCTTCAAGTGTTTAAAAAATGCACACATAAAGTAAAATCTATTTCTTATTATAGGCTGTGATCACAATATTTAGAAAACTTCTGTTCTAAAAGGTTGATAATATGTATTTATTATAAATACTATTTATTTTTTAATATTTATGACATATAAATACACTTTTTTTCCCACAAAGGCCATAACGTATTTTCAAAACCAAACTCTAATTTACTATTTAATAAAATAACCTTACTATACTTTATCAGAACTTCAAATTCAGATATATGACTACGTTAAACTTCCGTCAATATTGTCTACATACAGAATTAATAGCTAAACTAAAACTTGTGACCAAAACAGTTCTATGAAGATATGGTGTCAATCAAACATGTTTAAATTGTTTTTTTATTCTTGAATTAGATTACACAAATATTTCTCAGATTTTTTATAGTCTATAGTTTGTAATTATTATTTTTAAAAAGAAAAAATAGTGTTTTTGAAGTGTATTTTACGTAATTCTTATATTTTCTGTACTATTTCATACAGTTTGTTAAGCTAAAACTAAATCTTAGTGGAAGAATAAAGACCTACTTGAAATTCCTTGGTATAGGAACAATTACAAGATCTACTATCAAAACAAATAACTCCAGCTTCCTGACCATGATGGCTATGAGTACTAATTAAAATATTATTGATAAATATATACACATATACTTTATAAATTGTTTGAATTAATTCCAACCAAATTTATTTTATTTAAATTATAATAAGAACAAATAATAGAATTTTTGCTTAAGGTGTGAAATTAATTTCTTGAAGTAATATCTGGAATTTCCCCATTTGTTTTTGAAGGTCATTATAAATTTGCATAATATTTAAATCATATATGGAAAGGTTTGACTATAATTACTACTATCATTTATGGAGACAGATATGGTAATAAGGTCTTCAGCCAATATTTCTTTATTTGTTAAAACAATTATTCTAAACTGTTAATAATCTATAAAAGTAACAACACTGACCTTCATTCTACGTTTTATTTGTATTCACTTGAACTAACTCAGAAGTCATACCTCCAGTCAGAAAGTGAATATTTTCTTATATTTGCACTAAATATTAATCAGGAAAAATGAGTTAAAGAGCATATAGTGGGTGCTCAAATATGAATAATAATAACATTTTTCAAGCTTTTACTAAGATATTTACCACTGGATGTTTAAACCATTTTGCCTAATTATACCTGGATTCTCAGATACAGATATGAATGCGTTTGTTAATTTTAAAATGACACTTCTATATTTTTCGTTTTTTTCATTTGAGACCATTCTATTAATTATAACTCCTCATTTTAGCTAGGAGCAGGAATAATAAATTTCAGATACCTTGCATTCTGATCATTTAACTTAACATAGCCTTGCCAAAAGAACAGAAAATGATGTCCATATTCTAATCTCCCATCTCTAAATCCACTTTTCCATAGTCTGTACTGGAATGTTAGGACCAGAAATCACTGGTGGACCTCAATTTTTGACTCCTTTCCCAGCTGGCTTTCTAGCAGAAGATTGGAAGCACTGGGGGGCTTAGGATGGTGGTAAAAGAGGATAATAGAATGTCTTTTTAATTTTTCTTCTAGCAGAGGCATTATCCTTTGAAAGCGATAGGTGGCTCTGGCCTCCCGCTCCTCTTGGATCCATCAGTACTAGCCTTAAGCTATTGTGCCCTCTCAAAGACTCAAGCCACATCCAAGCAATACTCCTTCCAGAGATGGCTGATTACTAACTCTGCAGGACCATTCAACTGAGCTACTAGATTTGATAAAGTCAACTTCTTTTCTCTCCAGTTTTGTTTCGTGTTGTAGATGCTTTCCGCTTCAGGTATTGGTCTGATTTATTCCCCATCCCCGCTTTTTTTTAATGTTTAGTACTTATAATCCTCTATATTACATGACCTCTGTTGATAGATCTACTTGTCTTTGTTAAACTTGTATTTCCTGACTGGGCCTTGACTGAAGCTTTCCAAAATCCTCCCCTTTCAAAGATTAATTGTTGAACTTTCTAAACAGTATACTCATAAGAGTATTTTGAATTAGGTGGACTGATATGGAACCATGAATAGCTAAGAAATGAAAATGTAAGTTTAGTGAATGTCCTAGTTATCATAAAGTTTTTAGAGCTATTTACATAATGAATATTTCAATGGAAAAAAAATCCAGTTTGTTGAAGAAAAGTTACTCAACAAGTAACAGAATATTATGTAAATGGCGTTACCCACATTTGCTAACCTAACTAAACAAATAAATGTTAAGAATAAGGGAAGAGATTAAGAGTAAATATAATTTTTGATATTTATTTTATCATAAGTTAGGTGCATGTGAAAGAGAAATCAAACTTAAGGAAAAGGAGGGATATGGGAAAAAGAAAAGAAAGGGGAAAGGTAGAGAGAGAAAAAAGACACAGAAGAAAGGAAATAAACAAAAAAAGGTATGCGGAAACTTGAAGACTAGATTATTTTAGAAAACCCAATGTAATTTCATAGTGGAAATAGAATCACCTGCAAATAGCAAATTAGATGCTTTGGAAACTATTAATCTCACATTTAACATCAGATGATATTTTTGACAAATGGTAAAGTGCATGAGGATGAAGCATAGTACGGTAATAAAATGCAAGTTTGATTAACATTTTTTTGAGGAACGAAATCCTGACACTCACAATGTGTAATCTTGGAAAAATTATTTAATGCCTCAGAGTCTCAGTGTCCTAACCTGTACAATAGAAGATAGTCATTCTCAGCTTCCAATATTTAAGTTCATACAAGAACGAACACATATTTATCAAGAACCAGTCACATGTGAGCAGCAAAACCTATTATTATATTTCAAAAATGACTTCTAAATTTTAATTATTTTAAAAGGGATAAATTAAATTGGGATCTTAAAGAGTCTTGTGTTAGTCACTTTGACATCAACAAATTGAGTTCCTTTTCTGTACTATTCACTTTCCAAGGATCTAGGAATAAAGCAGAGATCAAAAAAGGCAAAAAAAAATGCATCCCTAATCTCATGAAACATATACTTTAGTGGGAAGAGACAATTAATATGTATATACAATATCTGATGGTGCTAACAAACCATAGAAAATAATCTATAGCAGGCCAGGTGCAGTGGCTCACGCCTGTAATCCCAACACTTTGGGAGGCCAAGGTGGGTGGATCACCTGAGTTCAGGAGTTCGAGCCCAGTCTGACTAACATGGTGAAACCCTTTCTCTCATAAAAATACAAAAATTAGCCTAGCTGGGTGTGGTGGTGTGCACCTGTAGTCCCAGCTACTAGGGAGGATGAGGCACAATAATCGCTTGAACCCAGGAGGCGGAGGTTGCAGTGAGCCAGGATTGCACCACTTCACTCCAGGGTGGATGACAGAACAAGACTCTGCCTCAAAAAAAAAAAAAAAAAAAAAAAAAAAAAAAAAAAAAAAGAAGAAGAAGAAGAAGAAGAAGAAAGAGAGAAAGAGAGAGTAAGTAAGAGAAAGAAAGGAAAGACAGAGAGAGAAAGGAAGGAGGGAGGGAAGGAAGGGAGGGAGGGAGGGGAGAGAGAAAGAGAGAGGAAAGAAAGAAAGAGAAGGAAAGAAGGAAAGAAAAGAAAAAGAAAGAGAAAGAGAGAGAGAAAGAAAAAGAAAGAAAGAAAAGAAAGAAAGAAAGAAAGAAAGAAAGAAAGAAAGAAAGAAAGAAAGAAAGAAAGAAAGAAAAATTCAAAGTAGGAGTGGGGAGCTAGAGAGAGAGGAAGAGAGAGGTTGTGTGCTAATTTATTTAGGGTGCTCAGGAAACTCCCTCTATAGGTAATATTTGAGTATAGACCCAGCAGAAGTGAGGGACAAACTACGCAGGTATCTAGAAAAGAGCATTCCTGGAGGAGGGAAGAGTCAGTGAAGGGACCTTGAAGCAGGGCCCGCTGATATGGTGGAGGCGCAGCAGCCAGGGCACTGCGGCAGAGCACGCACGAGGGGAGGTGCTAGGAAAAGATGCCTGAAACCCAGCAGGAGCAATTTCTATGTAGGGCCTTATTGATTATAGTTTGGATTTGAAATTTTATTTTTAGAGAGCTAAAAAGCCATTCGAGTGTTTGAAAAGACGAAGGGGGATGTGCTGTGGTTTAAAATCGGGCTACTGAAAAATTATGAACATTTAGGATCTAGAATAAAAGCTGGATGGCTTTGGGAGAACATTTTTCAAATAAAAGATGAAGATGGCTTTGAGCAGCATCAACCTGCAGGTGTTATAAAATTTGGATTCCAGGTCTATTTTTGAGGAAGTCTATAGAACCTCAGGATGGAACAACAGGAGGAGGAACAATAGGAACTTCAACACTATGAAATGAAATTTGCAAAATTATAACATTTAAAAATATAATCTTGGTATTGATTTGATAGTAAGCGATAGATGCTAAATATAGCAGAGATAGGGTGGAATCAAAGATACAAATGATAGGGCACAGTTTGTACAAGGACGAGAGTTTAAAAAAATTAATACCTTGAATGTAAGAACTACAGACTTAAATATATATGTGATATACATAAATCTGTAGTTCATATATATATATGATATACATATATCATATATATTTAAATCTGTAGTTCATACATATATATATAATCTGAGATTGGAGGAAGTCTTTCATTTTGGGGAAAATCCAGTGAGATCTATTCCAAGCCTCAGTTACACATATGCATTAACAAGTGCAAGTGCATATGTGTGTGGACTTTAGATAAATAGTAGCTCCACACCAGAGAAATTGCCCAGCTTTATTACCCTCTTATTCATATAATTTAAATTCATTGTTTTTGAATAAGAATGGTAGAAAGATTTATGACCTAGAACACTCATGATGAATATGCAACTTCCCTCTGGTGCCAGAGAGGGAGATCAATGGAATAACTATGTAACAAGTGGTGGCATTATAATAGTGGTATTGGTTGAACTAGAAGGTTTATCCTGATGTTCCTTTTCACATACAAATTCTACACTAACCATTTAGATTACTAACTAACTTACAACAAAATTATACAGTGGATATTTTATATTTTGAATAAGCATTACATTTTTGAAATCCAATTGACTAGGTCTGTCATTTTAATTCAGTGTTAATTAATTTAAGTAAAAATGGCTGTTAATGACAATCTGTGTAAGGCACTGGAGAAAACACATTTATCAGGAAGACATAGTACCAGTCTTAGTAATTTTACATTCTAAAGTACTGTATTCAATGTTTCACGTAAAGATAATATCAAGCTCTAATATTAGGTCATCTGGATAACATATAAGTCACAAAAATTTCAAATATCTTAGAACCAAAAATTTCTTAGAAACTAATTATTTCTAACATGTAGGCTTTGAAATTTCAGCTTTATTCTACTGACTTAAGTTTCACATTTCTGAAGAAAATGATAATACATTTAAAATGCAGTATAATTTTAGTCCCCAGGCATTATTACACAAACAAAATGCTTAAATCATTTTGGCTCAATCTTGAAAAAGAAAACAAAGAAATTCTAAAGATTCAACATTTAGTTCTTATTTAAATCAAGTTCTACATTTTGGCTAATTACGTAATTCCTTAGCAAGTGATTCTCAACAGGGCTTCACAAAATGTAAGACTTTTCACAAAATGTAAAACTTTTACAACACATTCTCTCAATAAGGACCTATGATGGCAGGTTTTCAAATGAAAGTATTTCAAGATGTAGTTACTTTTATCTAGTTGTTAGAATTTTTTTTAAGGTATAAGACTGTATTTGGGTCAACTTATCTATTCTTAAGCCTTTAGATACTCATGAATGAGTCAAATTTTCAATTAACAAAGTTGGCATTGTTTGAAGAAACAAAAGGATAACGTTTCATATTCTAAAGCATTTAATAAAGTTATTAAGCTC
The DNA here is from genome assembly GCF_000001405.40 of Homo sapiens. Taxonomy (NCBI): domain Eukaryota; kingdom Metazoa; phylum Chordata; class Mammalia; order Primates; family Hominidae; genus Homo; species Homo sapiens. The sequence continues at coordinate 22,246,985 of NC_000005.10, forward strand.
TATAACTTCATAATATCAATCACCTCACTTATGTAAATACAAATTCTGGACTAAAATTGTGTTTTAAGATATGTTTTGGATTACTCACACTTAGGTACCTAAAACTTAAACATTTTAATCCTAAACGGACCTTTGATATCAGTTTAGAAGATGCCTAGGAAAGCAATTAGGCCCAGAAAGTGTACATGACTTATTTAAAAACATTTACTGGCTAGTGTCAGAAACATCACATACACTTATTAGGGTTAGCAAATATCCAGTAAATACACAGTTACTTCCCCTTCTCTTCTCATGCAATCATTAATTCAGCGTTGCTCCAACGTCAATGAAGCCTAGTAAAGCTTCATCATGCTTCACGTCAGACTACACTGAGCTACCACATTTACATGGGATTAAAGAAAACTATTTGGGGCTGGACCCAGTGGCTCATGCCTATAATCCCAGCACTTTGGGAAACTGAGGTGGGTGGATCACGAGGTCAGGAGTTCGAGACCAGCCTAGGCAATATGGTAAAAAACCATCTCTACTAAAAATACAAAAATTAACTGGGCATGGTGGCGCGTGCCTGTAGTCCCAGCTGCAGGAGAGGCTGAGGCAGGAGAATCGCTTGAACCTGGGAGACAGAGGCTGCAGTGAGCTGAGATCACATCACTGCACTCCAGCCTGGGCGACAGAGTGAGACTCCGTCAAAAAAAAAGAAAAGAAAAGAAAAGTATTTGGTAACTTTGAGTTATAGCTTTTCTCCATATTCATAAGTACTGTGACATAAAAAATTCTATATGTCTTTTAGTGTCTAGTGCACTATTTTATTATAGAAATGAATAGTTATAAGGAGCAAAAGTCACATGTAAACATATCCAGTTCTAAACAAATGCACAGAGGTATGTGGCCAGACATATGCTCAAACCTTAAACAAACAAATCTTCCATGGGTCCATAAAAAATTCAATATATTTACAAGAAGTCCCAAAAGCTTAAACTTAGGATCCTACCTTTTGTAAGGCAGGCCGTTTTATTATCAAGAATATCTCGGCCAGGTACAGTGGCTCACGCCTGTAATCCAAGCACTTTGGGAGGCCGAGGTTTGTGGATCACCTGAGGTTAGGAGTTCGAAACCAGCCTGGCCAACATGGTGGTAAAATCCCGTCTCTACTAATAATACAAAAATTAGCTGGGCGTGGTAGTGCATGCCTGTAATCCCAGCTACTTGGGAGGCTGAAGCAGGAGAATTGCTTAACCCAGGAGGCGGAGGTTGCAGTGAGCCCAGATTGCACCATTGCGCTATAGCCTGGATGACAAGAATTTAAACTCCATCTCAAAATAATAATAATAATAGTAATAATAATAACAAATCACATTTTCCCATTTTGGATTATTTTTAATTATTAATATTTTACACTATAAGTATCAAGAGATTCTCAGGAGTATTTTCAGAATCCTTGAACAATTTCAGGGGATATTTCAAATCAAAGAAAAAATAATGTGTCTGCAACATCTGTACTCCTTTCTTGTCTTACACAAAGGGTATTTGTGCATAAATACATGCTAAAAATATGTTTACTTGATTGAGTGGACATGATCACTCTGGATACCACACTTTGGACTAATCCAATGAATGAAATACAAAATGAAAATAAAAAGAGAAATGTAAGATACAGGAACAGAATCCTTATTTTGAAATCACAGTTTCGTTGTATTTGCTGATAAAACCTATCCAATAGTATCAATAGGTTCTTTCACATTCTCCAAGTTTCATAGCTGTACATTAACTGTGGCTAAATTTAAAATTATTGTAGACTCCAGATTTGGAATTGTACTCTCTCACTTATCATATAAGTAACTAAACCATATTCTAAAATATAATATTTTCTTTAATCATTTATATTACAAATAAATATAAAAATATTCAGAACAAAAATGTCATGTTATACACAAATCTAACCTCTACTCGACAATTTATACAATATATACAATTCTACTCCACAATTTATTTTTTCTTTCTTCTACCTTTTACCGTTCTGTAAATACAGTATAAAATAAAAATTTGGGATTTATATGTAATGATAAATCTATATGCTCTTTGCAATTTTTCTGTGAATACCCCCCAAAATACTATACTATAATACAAATGTGATTACACACCAATATCCCTTTTAATGAGAAAAAAATGACAAAAGTATCACTGGACCATAGTGTCAATTAATTTTAAATTCATAGAACAGCTGTGAATGTTAGAGCCATAGGGTTCTTCCCTGGACCCCTGTGAATTATCTGTCAAGGTTAAAGGAAGCATAACAATTTGCTACAGGTATACCCAGAGGGTATGAACTCATAGGAAAGAGAGGAAAGCAGAATGGTCATGAAAGACTGTTATTGGAGACAGCTGCGTGGCGGGAGGCGATAAGGTAGTAGAAGTGGAGTCGGAGTAGAGATAATGAAAGCAATGACAGAAAAGACAGCTGTGTAGAGATTAGGTTTACAAAGCAAGATCTGTATCCATAACTAAAATCTGTGAGAAGAACATTTTGACACATCAAAGAGCCTCAAGGAGCTGGTTTACTTTTAATACAATTTGAAAGTGACAATAAAATGCTGGCACAGTGCCGCAGCTACTTCATAGGTGTCTGACATAATATGATTACAATTCAGAATGGAATCATCAACCGACTCTATTTCTCCAGAGGATAAAAAACACAAACATAGCAGGGCTAACCATGCTTCTGTTGTTATGATCGTCTCATGTTTAAAATTTGGAAATTACTGTTCGTTACTAAGGTCGACTTTTTCTGGAAAGGTAATGGAGAAATCTCTCTCTGTCATTTTTATGTTCATCTTTTGTTGTATTGCATATTTTAATTGCAATGGATTATACCTACAGATTATTCACTCATTTTTGTGTTAATCAAACATGTGTAACATTTGATGTAAAGGTACAAGAAAGAATGGAATTCCATTGTAAACAGGGATTTATGAGAAGCCAGTTAGGAAAAAGTGTCACAAACAAATTGAGCCTTAAACAAAGTCCGTCATCCAATTAAAAAAAAAATGTAGGCTGGTGGGGAAGTATTGCAGAAAAAACTGAACAGAATTTTTAAAGACTTGGGATCTGGAAAAGCATGGTGTCTATGAGAAAGTGCAGAGAGTTTAATTTGAGCTAAGTATGCACTGGAGAGTGCCAGATTAGGCTAAATATTAAAAAAGAAAAGAATATATATATATATAGTCTACTGCTGTGCAAGGAAAAAAACCCACATACTAGTGGCTTAAAAGAACAAGAAAAATTTCTTGTCATGAATCTACAAATCTGCAATTTGGGCATGGCAGGGACAACTTGTCTCTGCTCCATTCAGCATTAGCACTCAGAACCGTCTAAAAGTTCCAAACCTCACAGGTTAGGTAGCTGATTCTGGCTGGCGGCTGGGACCTCAGCTGGGGCTGTGATCAGAATCCCTACAGGTGGATGCTGCGTTCTAATCGTGGATATCGCCTTTTCTAACCCAGCCTTAGAAGTCACGCAGCATCAATTTCGCCACATGCTATTTGTTAGATGTGGGTCACTAAATCCAATCTATATTCTTGGAAGTGAAATTAGACCTCATCTCTCAGTGTATAAATGCCAACAATATGTTGTAAATAAAAGCATGTAGGAAATAATATTTTGGCCTAACATCTTTGAAAAATAAAATTTCATACAATTGCTTTGGTTCTTCACTAAGGATGGTAAATGTATCACGTGGTTTCCCGACGTGAGGCGTGATCAGACATGTGTCTTAGAGAGCTCTTTCTGGCAGCTTGGGGAGAACTAATAAGAGAGGGCTTGCCCTTAATGGAAAGGAGAGCACTTAAAAAGCCATTGCAGAATGTAGCAATAACAGCCTGGATTATGACAGTGAATATAGGAAAAAGTCCAGTAGAAATGTATTTTCAGCAAAGAAGAAATGACCTATAAAGATAAATGTTCCAGAAAGGTAGACTAAAATAAGGAGTGAAACATCATGAAATTTGCAAACAATTTTAGCATGTGTTAAATACTGAAGGGGAAAGCCAGATTGAAATAATTTCCAAGGCTGATGAAATTTAAGAATGCAAACCCAGAAGATAGTGACTCAAGGGATAGGGAAGATTGGATGACTGATAGCTAAAGGTGGCAGATAAAAAGCTCATGGTGTATTTATTTTTGTCTTATTTCTTTGTTTAAAATGGATTCAGTTGAGAGTTCAGTGGATGAGACTGGAGTCACATTGGAAGGGCAAGACTGCAGAGAATGCAGGGGAAGGATCAGCTGATGGACAGTCTTCTACTGACACTGATGGACAGGTGGTAAGGCCATACACAGGTTCAGATAAAGTATAGGTGTGAGAGGGGCATGTTTTGTTGAAGTAGAGAATCTACTCAAGAATGTTGCTCAAATTATTGAATTTGTAAAAACACCAGTGTACACTGGAATTAATCTGAATCTTGAGAAATAAAGTGGACACACAGGAAATTTTTCTTATCTCTTATCTCTTGCTAATGGTGTTACTAAAGCCGTATGAAAATGGATTCATTACTTAACTTCTCTGTGCCTCACTTCCCTTATCTGTAAAGCAGGGATGATAAAAATAGGGATGCTGTGTATTAAAATGACTTAATTTGTGGAAAACAGTGAGATTGATGCCTTGCACATGGTACAACCATATGATCACTAGTCAATCTTATTAAATAGAAGAAAATAATTATATCCAGTCCTAAGTGCTCTGAACACAGAAAAAGAAAGTGTTGGCTATTGGAATTCCTCTACAATAGAATGATTAAAGCTGTGTCATCTCTACCCTTTGGGAAAGTATTACTTACACGAAAAATTTTGTAAAGAAGCTGAACATTGTCCAAGTAGCAGAAAAAAATATAGATGTATTTTCTTGTGATTAAGATATTTTAAAAATACCCCCATACTATATAATGGTGAACACATGGGTATTTTTTAAACCTTTCCAGATACAACTGTAGCTTAAAATTACACATTTTCTTTAACATTATAGAGGAATTACTGTTCATATTTTTTCTTCCAAATGGTATCTAAATACATTGAATTGGTGATATCTATGATCAGCTCCTCTCTATTTAAATAAGTTTATGCATAAACAATTTTCTTGGTTCTCAATTGCTGTATAATGTCATCAACTTAAGCACAACTGTTCAGGAACAAAATGAAACAAAAAAAGAGATAAATACTACAGAAGGGATTACTATAATAGTACTGTTGATAATCTAGTGTTAGATGTATCCCAACTTCAAAAAAAAGTTAGAATAAAAAAATAGAATGGGACACATATAATAATGCAACAACATTTTTGTTAATGTATAATCAGTACAATTATCTGTAGTGTTTGTGACATCATTATGGATGCCAGTTATGTTCCAAACTTAAAAAAAAAACAGCTAAGTAAGAGATTAGAGGTTGGATTCGAACACTTGCTTTGTGGAATAAAAATTTCTGTTCAGATTTTTTGTTCTTTATTTTCCTCTTCCCAAATTTTTATGGCATCGTTAACCATCCAAATAATTAAACTGATGCCTAAAGTTTATACTTTATATTACTTTACCTCTCACAGCCTATATCCAAATCACCAAAGCTTTAAAACTCTTCACTTTCTAAACCTTTCTCAAATTGCACCAAAGTGCACCAGAACCATCAGTACCTCTTCAAGATTACTGCAACAGCGTGATATATACCATTATTCCTCCTCTCCAGGGTCCTTTATGTTTGCTATTCTTTCTCAGTGGAATTATCTTTCCTGCCTTTTTTCCCCATGTAAATCTTCCGATCTATGAAGCCTTAGCTTAATTTCTTCTATGTCCAGGAATTTTTTTTTTCTCACCTCCCTGGCTGGTGTAACTCCTATTACATGCTCTACTGAAAACATGTATCCTTTTTTAGAAACATGTTATCAGATGTGTAATTTAATATTGTTGGTGTCATTACTGATTAATAAGTACTTCCCACAGTAGAATAAAATTTCACTAAGAGCAACTCCATTTGTTATCTCTTGTGAGTGTTAGATATTGACATCAATATTTATGTCTAGCATCGTATCCAAAGCACCTAGCACCATGTTGACCATACAGGAAATCTTTATTTATTATCTGTTGAATTAAATGAATTAATTTATGATTCAGGATAATACAATATGCAATATAATATACTAATGTGAGAATATTTCATTTTTGTATTTATAAAGTAATTATGACATTTTAATAATAATACATATTTAGAACATTATTTGATGTTCAAGGTACAGCATGACTTTTAAAAGTGACTATTTTTCCTTCAGCTGTATCATGATTTAGCTTTAGCTTATAAATAAATAACTTTATAACTGTTAATAAATAAGTAAAACTGGTGCATCATTTACCTATTTAGGATGCTTATGCTAAAATTAGGAAATTTAAAACAATGATACTCAAAAATTAACAGATGTAGCTTATTGAAATTACTGTCATTTAAAATAAAGTACTTGTCTGAATAATCTGATAAATAACATGCCTTAAATAATTTACATATTTTCTGTTCCTTTTTTCAGAGGCTTATTTTCATATTTTATTCATATAGTCCCTACAAACATACTTTTTAACTCTGATTTCCGAAGTATTGATTCTAACTTCTTGCCTTTCTCAACATTCTCTTTCAATCTAGCTCCTAAATTTTAGAGGTCCAAATACTCTCTTCCTCTTCCCCTTTTCCCTCTTCTCCTCCACCTCTCCTCCTCCTCTCATAACCCTTAATCTTCCTCCTTTGCCTCTTCCTACTCCTCCTCTTTTTCTTCCTCTTTCTTTTGTATTCTTATACTATGCTCTCTTGATGAATGGAAGTGGTGCTTACTAAATAATGAGGCACACAAATGTGAACAGATTGTTATTTTAAAGTAGTTTAAAGTTCATCGAATGGAGCGAGTATGCCTGAAATGTGTATTGTGCATTTACAGATATTTCAGTGTCTTTCACAAATATCGATAAATTAGGATCACAGTCAGAAATTGGTAATGGAGATAATTGTCTTTGAAAGAAATTTGAGCTGGAAAATGAACTCAAGAAGTTTGAGTTCTCTTTTCAAGAGAGTCAAATCACTGTTTTTAGGCCTGCTAGAGCATTTTGTTGTCCCTTTGCTCTTTAATGTAACCTGATAGTGCTGAAACTTTTAGGTATATACATGAATAACTAGGTTTAGATAAACCTGGAAGAAAACTACCTTAATTCCAAGAATTGGATTAAATGAAGGTACAGAATAAAAAATTTCTTTGAATTCTTCTTTTGAAATTTGGTAACTCAAAATATTAAGTGGGGGATAAGAAATAGTAAAGGTATTTAAAAAGTTATCTTTATACTAATACCACTACTCTGAACCACTAGTAAGCATATTAATGAGTATAGTTTCTCATGAACTTTGAATTACTTAGGACAAACACATCAGAAGATGACCAAGAAAAACATCAACAATTCCACTAGATTTGAGTTTTAGATCTTCTTATTTCTTTTGTACCTTATTTCAAAGTGTACTCTGAGATTGCCATTCTACAATGCAATGAAATATAACTAATGGGTATCAGGTTTAATACCTGAGTGATGAAATCATCTGTTCAACAAACCCCAATGACAAAAGTTTACCTATGTAACAAACCTGCACTTGTACGTCTGAACTTAAAATAAAAGTTAAAAAAAATCAGTATGGGTATATATAATTATACATATTTATAAAGTACAAGTGATTTTTTTAATTTTAATTTTTTAAATGTTTGTGGGTACATAGTAGGTGTATTATATTTATGGGGTAGATGAGATATTTTGATACAAACATACCATGTGTAATGATTAAATTAGGACAACTGGGGTATCCATCACCTCAAGCGTTTATCATTTATTTGTGTTAGGAACATTCCCATTTCAATCTTTTAGTTATTTTGAAATATACTGTAAATAATTGGTAACTGTAGTTCCCCTATTATGCTACCAAACACTGGATCTAATTCCATCTAACTGTATTTTTGTACCCATTAATTCTTTCCTCTTTATCTGCACCCTTTCCACTACTTTTCCAGCCTCAGGTAACCATCATTCTACTCTGCATCTTCATGAGTTCAATTTTTTTGTTAGCTCCCACATATAAGTGAGAACATGTGATATTTATATTTTTCTGTTTGCTATTTCTTGAAGGAAGCCTTATTCATTAGCTAGGTCTAAAGGGAAAGTGGGAAGTGACCTTTTTAATTGTGAAGACAAATACTTTAACCTCTGAAGTATTTGTGATTTTTTTTTTTGAGTGATGTATGAGTTTCTATTTTTCACCATAAGGCTCAAGAGAATTAAGATCATGATCTCATGAAAAGTATTATTTTTTACATACAAATACCTATAATTATTAATTATAGATAGCATTTAACTTTTTAAAATATGTATGCTAAAAACATTCATATTAAAAATACAATACTATATTTTTTGTTACATCATTAGCCATGTGGCTCTTATTTCAGAAGTAAAAATTATATACAGATTGGAAGACTATTCAACATAAAATAAAAGTTGACCAAATAACATAAAGATTACTAGAAAAATATTTATGTCTCAAGGTCAGTATTTAAGTTTGTTACATTTTTATTACATTTTATTTAATTTAAAACATTTTTAAAAGTTAAATTCATAGGTAGTGGATGACATATTTAATTTAATAAATGGCATTCTTGCTTTATATATATGAATATATAATGAAACTACATGCAATACAAATAACTGATCTAGAACAAGGAAAAAATAAAATACTAAAATTAAGTTTTTTAAAAAAATGATATCTAGGAAGAAGCTGGTTATACTGATATAACATCAGTATAACTGTTAGAATGGTTAAATGTCAGAATGGCTGTTATTCATCTTTGTTAAAGAAAAAGTAAATAGGTAACCGAGTTGTTTCTTGCATTTCATTACCTGAAATGAATTTAACCTTTATTCTATTTTGCAGTATACTAGGCACTGTGTAACGACCTCTAAATGCATACAGCATCCAGTCTTCAAACCATCTTATATTATCACTATTGTATTATTGCATCAACATATATATGAGGAAACTGAGATGCATATTTGCTAAACAGTTTTCCAAAGTCTCATATTAAGATAGGCAAGTAAATTGGAAGAAGTGTAAAATATTTTTTCTATTCAACATGACTTTATTGTTTGGTAGAAACAGATCACTTTAACCATTGCAAAGTGTAAAATATTACTATCGTACATCCATGTGCCACATAACAGTGTTCTGGTCAATGACAGCATGTACAATGGTGGTCCCATAAGATTATAAAGGAGATAAAAATTTATATCACCTAGTGACACTGTAGCCACCTTAACATCACAATGCAATGCATTACTCACGTCTGTGGTGACGCTGGTGCAAACAAACCTACTGCACTGTCAGTTCTATAAAAGTATAGCACATGCAATTATGTACAGCACATAATAATTGATCATGATAAGCAACTGTATAACTGGTTTATATATTTACTATACTATACTTTCTATTATTATTTTAGAGTGTACTCCTTGTACTTATTTTTCTTTAAGTTAACTATAAAACAGTGTCAGGCAGGACATTCAGAAAGTATTACAGAAGAAGTCATTGTTATCATAGATGCCAGCTCCATGACTATTACTAGCCTTAAAGACCTTCCAGTGGGACAAGATTTGGTGGTGGAAGATAATGATATTGATAATCTTGACCCTGTGCACGCCAAGGCTAATGTGTGTGTTTGTGCCTTAGTTTTTAACAAAAACAGTTTAGAAAGTAAAAACATAAAAATAAAAATAAAAAGTGGACCCAGCAATCCCATTACTAGGGAATATACCCAAAGGATACAAATCATTCTGTTTTAAAGACACATGCAAGTGTATGTTCACAATAGCAAAGACATGGAATCAATCTAAATGACCATCAATGATAGAATACAAAGAAAATGTGCTACATATACATCATGAAATACTACACAGCCATAAAAAAAGAATGAGATAATGTCCTTTGTAGGGACATGGTTGGAACTAGAGGCTGTTATCCTTAGAAAACTAACACAGGGACAGAAATGCAAATGCCACATGTTCTCACTTATAAGTAGGAGCTAAATGATGAGAATACATGGACACATAGAGAAGAACAATCCACACTGGGGCCTTTCAGAAAGTGCAGAGTAAGAGGAGGCAGAGAACCAGGTAAAATAACTGTTGGGTACTAAGCCTAATACCTGGGTGACAACATAATCTGCACAACAAACTCCATGAAAAAAGTTCACCTATGTAACAAACCTGCACTTGTATCCCTGAACTTAAAATAAAAGTTAAAATATAAGTTAAAAATTTAAAAAAATTAAAAATCGAGAAAAGCTTATATAATAAGGATATTAAGAAAGAAAATATTTTTGTACATCTGTACAATGTGTTTGTTTTTTTAACCCATTTATGCCTGAGGTTGCAATTTTTATTTTTTATTTTTATTTATTTATTTATTTATTTATTTATTTATTTTGAGACAGAGTCTCGCTCTATTGCCCAGCCTAGCGTGCAGTGGCGCGATCTCGGTTTACTGCAACCTCTGCCTCCTGGGTTCAAGCAATTCTCCTCCCTCAGCCTCCGGATTAGCTGGGACTACAGGCCACTGTCACCATGCCTGGCTAATTTTTTGTATTTTTAGTAGAGATGGGGTTTCACTATGTTAGCCAGCATGGTCTTGATCTGAGCTCCTGATTTGCCTGCCTCAGCCTCCCAAAGTGCTGGGATTACAGGCGTGAGCCACGACACCTGACTGCAAATTTTTTTTGTGTGTGAAAAATCAGACCTTGTCAATGACCTTGAACAGTAGGATATAAATAACTCCCACAAGCTTAGCGTTCCAATAGTGGAAGACTAGGCATAAATGGGTTAATCTAAGTGTCACAAAAGAGTGAAAAAGTTAAAAAATAAAACACTTTATAAAGTAAAAATGTTACAGTAAGTTAAGGTTAATTTATTATTAAGTAAAGAAAAATATTCTTTATAAATTTAGTGTAGTGTAAGTGTACAATATTTATAAACATTGTTTATAATTACATTAGCTGAGGACGTAAAGTTTTTTTTGCTTTTATTTTTTGTTTTTTACCATCTTGTGAAAGGTTTCTGAAACTCGATAATAAAAATCAGTTGGCGTAAATTATTCTTTTGGGTCACATTTTTAGAATGAAAAACAAAGAATGTATCCTTAGTACTGGTTCTTAAACAGCCCATAAAAACCCATTGGCCTGAAGCTTGTCTCAGGCCCGTGCCCATCCTATAGTTTTGAAAGACAAAAGGCTGGTAGAGACAGTCTTCAGCAGTTTCAATGGCTTCAACGATGCTCTGTGGAGTTCAGAGAGTCTGAGTGCCTTAACTCCCGAGCTATGATCCCAAGCACAGGGCTAGCCTGGCCTCTGTATCTCCCCACCACCAACCTCTTAAAAGAATAAGATAACAGCATATCTATAGTAAAACCATCTCTGCATAGAAACTGTTCAAATGCTCTGTTTTCATAAAATGTTAAAAGTTAAAAAAAAAAAAAGTCCTAGGCCTTCACATTCACTCACCACTCATTCACTGACTTACTCAGAACAGCTTTCAGTTCTGCAGGCTCCATGGATGATAGGTGTCCCTTACAGGTGTATCACTTTTTACCTTTTATACCATATATTTACTGTATCTTCTCTATGTTTAGATATTTTTAGATACACAAATATTTACCAGTTGTCTACAGTATTCAGTAAGTAACATGCTGTACAGATTTGGAGACTAGGAGCAATAGGCTATACCACGTAGCCTAGGTGTGTAGGAGGCTATGCCACCTAGGTTTGCGTTAAGTACACTCTGCAATATTCACACAGCAAGAATATCACCTAATGATGCATTTCTTAGAACGTCTCCTGGAATTAAGTGATTCATGATTGTATTGTAACATCATTTCTATTATTACAGATAAACACATCACAGATCTAGTCAGTGCCATTGCATTTATTTAATTAGAATGATAGTTTTTTTCTACACACAAATGTAAAATTTTAATGTGTTTATTTGGATATTTTATACCAACAGCATAAATTGCAGTGAGTACTGGACTTGTCTCACTGAACAATATATAAACTCAAATATTGGCCCATAATAAATTGACAATGAAAACAAAAGCAAATGTCATTCACCCAGATAGTATGAGAAGTACTTATCTAATTAATTTTGATCCTCAATGGTCTAAAACATAATTTTTAAGTTAAATATATGAACGTTCCACATAGCCAAGTTATTTTTATTATAATTTATAACCATCAGTAAAAAATTGGGGATTTAAAAAAACATATATTATTGTAGGTTCTAGAATTTGTATGCAGTACGCTAGGCCTAATTCACGGAATTATATTACTCTTGTTTGAATACTTCTGGTATAAACCATCATAGCTTCTCAGCTCTGAAACATTTCAAATAAGATAGTAAAAATGTCAGTAGCCATCGTTCTAATTATGAATAATTTATCTACCACAAAGGACCACTGGATATAACAATATTATCAATTTTAAGTTTTAATTTGTTGTCCAATGAAACTATACTATTTTCATGGGCTGAAACTGAGAATAATGAAACTACCAGTGCTTTGCATAAATATACATAAAATATTTGCTTTGTTATTCTGTTATTCTTTCATATAATTTCTTGATCTGGAGGTAATTTAAGATATGCAAAGGACTTTTTTTTTTTACTAGCACCAATATATTTTTAAAGATATTTGCCTTGGAGAACAAACTACTCAAGTATAATTAATTCAGCCTTTGCTGAGGTAAACTTTGAAGCTGACCGAATTGAGAATCCTGAGATCAAAATTCTGGCAAATAAATAATAAAACATATACAGAGATTACTAGTAGAAGACCCTAAAGGTGAGCAGTGCTATAATTTACCATACTGAAGAAAAAGGGCAAAAGCGTAATTAAAAACATGTAATTGGAAATATCTCCTTAAAAAGTGAGCATGTGTGTCTATTAAATCCAGAAATGATACTATCAAATACCAACTCTGGTGGTGTAAGAAAATAAAAATGAATTATCCTTTACAATTGGATCATATAGGTCTTACTTTTCCTTTCTAATAACCAGAACACAATGTCTTATAATTCCATGCTAATTTACTGTTTGAAATATGAAGATTTTGAACAAATAACATCTATCCTCTCTTTTAAATTCTTGTGTGTGTGTTTGTGCACCCATGTGCACATGCACATGTATCATCTCTAATTTGAGAATGTGGGTTGAACCAATGAAAATGCAATATTATTCAACATTATTTTATTTATTCTGTGAAATTGATAATTTTGTGTATTATGGTTCAACCACACTGCCTTGTTAGTATATATTCTATAGTCCAAATTAATAAAGTAACTTCAGTGAACTTGGTCAACACCAACTGCTCAGACGAGAATAATTTTTTCTACAATCCACAGCCATTTATCTTTTCTATGTTTTAAATGATTTTTTAGCAAGTTGCATTCTGAGAAGAGATACATGGAATAAACAAACAAAAAGCAAGATACCTAAATTTTCCTCGTTCTCTTTAGTAGTGTTGGTGGAACTACTTAAAAATGTAATTCTTACCAGCACAGAGTTAGTTTTAAATTTTCGGAGATTAGATTTAAACAAGATAGGTACCAATTGTCACCTTCACAGAACAATTCTAACATCATAAAAGATACAAATGATCAATTAGATCAGTGCCTTAACGCTTCAGACAAGATTTAGTGTTTGCTTTAAGACGTTGACATATTTTACAACATTTGGTAAAAATCAAATTGTCTTTTTATAAGTGGGAATGACTTGAAAAACCCAACAGCTTTGACTCATAGAATTATATTCTTAAGTAGATAACTGGCTTATTTCTGTTCCGATAATAGTAACACAATAAACACAGAGAGCCCATTTCAGTTATACATATTATCATAAAGGCATAAACAATTACATTTATATCCTAGAAGACAATATGTGTATATATACATACTACCTAAGACTATATATATATGTGTGTGTGTGTGTGTGTGTGTATATACACATAATCAAGGGACATTAAAACAAGTACTTTATTGTGCTAAAAGCTATGGGACTTCAATGGAAATTTGCATCAATCTAATATGCCACATTCTACAGAAATTTTTTTTTGCAATAGACACATACAAAATATTACATATTACTCGTTCACAAATTTATACAGTTTATTGATATGATTTGCCTTAAAAATAAATATAGCAAAGATTGCTTATTTTCTGAGTTATCTTATATTTATTATTCATTGATTTATTTCCCATCACCATTTCTCTATTTTCAGCTTTCCCCACCCTTTTGGTCATTTTACTTTCAAGATGTACTAGTTGTTAATAGTTGGTATACCTGTACCTGTTCCTTAACAAAAGCATGACCAGATCACAGATATTGCTACAGTTGAAGTAATATCAGCATTTTCATAATAAAAACTGCTCTTTGGAGGTTTATAATAATGCAACTGTAAAAGTTCATACTGGGCTCATCTTGTCATATAAGGTCACAGTCTGAAGTAAATTTGTTTTGCCAATTTTCATACAAATTAATGTAGCCACTACTCTAAGTAACGCAAATATAAATCAAACACTGGAGAAAAGTATTCCCCCAAAATAATAAACATCATTTGGCTGATACTTATTTTCAAGATATTTAGTTGTTTTTAAATTTGCATGTGTCCCACACGGGTGTCAAGAGGATAGCTCTAGGAGAGAAAGAAAGCCAAAAAAAAAAAAAAAATACATGGCTTTTCTCCAAGAAAATAACACTAACATATGTGAGCATATAATAAATAGCCTTCATGGCAGGTGGCTTACCCTCAAACAACAAACCCAATCTCAGTTTTTTACATAGACAACTATGTAAACTATGTCAAGGCCCTATTTAGAGAAAGAAACTGTCATGTTACAACTTTCTGAAACCATTTAAAAAATACGATACAAATCTCAGAAATGTTTCAGTCATTTTATGTAATATTGAAATTACCAAAGAGTAGTAACTTACTTAATATCATTGCATGGTTTTATAATAATGGCAATGTAATGCATACACTATTTCTTTTTTTTTTTATACTTTAAGTTTTAGGGTACATGTGCACATTGTGCAGGTTAGTTACATATGTATACATGTGCTGTACTGGTGCACTGCACCCACTAACTCGTCATCTAGCATTAGGTATATCTCCCAATGCTATCCCTCCCCCCTCCCCCCACCCCACAACAGTCCCCAGAGTGTGATATTCCCCTTCCTGTGTCCATGTGATCTCATTGTTCAATTCCCACCTATGAGTGAGAATATGAGGTGTTTGGTTTTTTGTTCTTGAGATAGTTTACTGAGAATGATGATTTCCAATTTCATCCATGTCCCTACAAAGGACGTGAACTCATTTTTTATGGCTGCATAGTATTCCATGGTGTATATGTGCCACATTTTCTTAATCCAGTCTATCATTGTTGGACATTTGGGTTGGTTCCAAGTCTTTGCTATTGTGAATAGTGCCGCAATAAACATACGTGTGCATGTGTCTTTATAGCAGCATGATTTATAGTCATTTGGGTATATACCCAGTAATGGGATGGCTGGGTCAAATGGTATTTCTAGTTCTAGATCCCTGAGGAATCGCCACACTGACTTCCACAATGGTTGAACTAGTTTACAGTCCCACCAACAGTGTAAAAGTGTTCCTGTTTCTCCACGTCCTCTCCAGCACCTGTTGTTTCCTGACTTTTTAATGATTGCCATTCTAACTGGTGTGAGATGGTATCTCATAGTGGGATCTAATTAAAATAAAGAGCTTCTGCACAGCAAAAGAAACTACCATCAGAGTGAACAGGCAACCTACAAAATGGGAGAAAATTTTCGCAACCTACTCATCTGACAAAGGGCTAATATCCAGAATCTACAATGAACTCAAACAAATTTACAAGAAAAAAACAAACAACCCCATCAAAAAGTGGGCGAAGGACATGAACAGACACTTCTCAAAAGAAGACATTTATGCAGCCAAAAAATACATGAAAAAATGCTCATCATCACTGGCCATCAGAGAAATGCAAGTGCATACACTATTTCTATAGATATACTTCCAAATGTAAATACACAATCAAATAGAAGTGAATTTATATGATTATTGGATCCAGAAATTAAGGCTTTGGGAAAGAAAAAGCTTGAGTGTTTCATCTCAAGATTCTTCCTGCTAATATCATTCAGAGCCTGTAAGGCAACTATTTTGAATCCACACTAATGATTTTGTTAACGCAATAACAGAAAAAATAAAAATAAAGAAAGAAAGGAAAAGAGTAGGGTAAAGGATAGAAAAGGATTCCATTGCAACAGTGTTAATATCATTCTGGAGAATGCAGGAGAAGCCATTCATATAGAAAGCTATTATAAAGTATTTAATGTTAGGAATGTATTAGTAAGTAAAAGTCAGGCACCATAATATATGGTAAAAGTCAAATAAAATCTCATCAACTTAAAAACATCCTGGCCATTTTGTAACTCAATTCCATTTTTGGGGGGTGTATGCATCTATGTTTTTATTAGAAATGCAATGATACAATTTTTAATTTCACCTGATGACCTTCTTATCTTAAAACTTCATAGTGTTTATATAGTACAATGATGATAAAAATCATAATCATAATAACTGAAACAAACAGGGAACTTACCATGTGTTTTAAATATGTTTATTTCACCTTCACAATAACTTTGAAGTTAAGTGTTATTATGAACTCTACTTTATACACAAGAGGAAACTTTGAGTTAGCAAATTTAAGTAATTGGCAAAAGGTGTCATGATTACCCAATAGTAAACCTAGGGTTCAAACTCAGGCAACATATCAATATAATGTGTTCTTCACAACTATGCTAGATATTTATCATTTTAATTTGCCATTTGCTAATTTCTTTTTTTAAAACATACTTCCCTACCATTAGAAAAAAATGGCTATTTCCCATCATTTTTTTAAAGAACCACATTGCTCTGAAAATCTATATGTATGTATTTATTTACTCTATTATATATTTATTTAAATATATATTTACTGTTTTTATATTATTTCCTTGGGATTGGTGCCTGGAAGTAATATTGCTGAGACAAAAATATATGAACTTACTTTACATATATTTGATTGTGGTTTTTTTTACTGAATACAACTATTAATCTGTATCCTTGTCAACATAAACTCAGATATGTGTGGGTAAACACACATACACAAACCCATGAATATGTGATTTAATAGCTGTAAAATGGAACTTCATTCCTTTGAAAAATCATTTGTAAAGTTAAACATTTTTTAAATGTTTGAATAAATTTATGTTCTCACTTTTTTCCTAATGTCTCTCCATGGTTTTATTCATTCTATATTATTTTTAGTAGAGTTAATGACAGCAAAATTATATCTTAAACAGAGATATCAGGTAAAGAAGTATAAAAGTGTTCAATACATACAAGTTGAAGTCAGAAATTTAATTTGGCTTGACTTTTATGAACCAAGGTGTGTGAGTAATTATCAGAGGTTGTTGTGAGGAGATATGATTGGGAATGGCCATGACAGCTGGATCACAAAAGTCTTCATCATTTGCCAGCAGCTTTGAACCTTTGAAGAGCCTGACAACAAATCACACCTCACTGGCCCTATTAGAGACACAATTACAGCTAATATATTGAATGGGTGAATTTGCAATACAAGGGTTTGTTTCCTTGATTTCAGAAAGAAATGTCTTCTTCTCTAACTGTAACTTTCCTGGTAGTGCTTGTGTGAGGCAAGAAGTGTGAGCTGGCACAGGCCTGCTGGGAATCCAATCTGTGTGTGCAATGTGTTATAGGCCTGTCACCCCAAATTGTTTATGGCGAGACATTCTTTGACGTATAGACATTTGTCAAGGTCATGCTGTTGTAAATGACCCTCAGTTTGAGAACTGAGAACATTCTTTTCACAATAACTTTTCTCTAAATAAGTTTTTGTTAGCATGAAGTTTCTTAGCTACTTGAGAAAACAGCCACCAGATTTCAAGGACAACAAATTAAATCAGACATGAGCTCTAGCCAGAGAACAGCAGAGGTATGAGAATCAGTCTTGGACAAAATGCTACGTTCAAATTATAAATGGGGTACCCATTATGTATAACATCAATCAGCAGGAGGTTAGAATGCTTAGGAAAATTATTTGTGGAAAAAAATTGGAAATAGCAGAAACATGTACTACTTTTAAGCAGAAATTATAGTGACTGATTATAACACGAACACTTTCCCTTGTCAATTAGTTTCAATATCAGGAACTCTGGAAAATCTGTAACAGTCAGCTAAGGTACAATTTTGTTATATTTTAACAAGCTAGTTACTATAGTCTTAACTTCAGGAATACTTAACTACTAGGCTTGTTACTATAATTCAGCTTTCTGTTTAAAGAGAAAGGTTCTGCTCTCTCGTATGTAGTTTTCTTACTTTGGAAGAGAATTGATATTAAAAATTGGCCTCATTTATGTGGCTCTATTGTTTTAACAATAATCAATATATTCATTGAAGTGTATTTATTTTAGAAGTCATCAGTTGTAGATAAGAAGGCACAGTTTCTGTTTCCAGGAACAGAATTTGTATTTTATAACACAAATTGGGGGAAAATAGTACTGAAGTAGAAATTAACTCAAGTGGTGCCACTCTCCTCTGAGCAATATCCTCCACTCAAAAGAAGTGCTTCCCATTCTTAAGGAGTCCTAAGATAATATAAGAGGGAAGATATAAACATGTATAAAGCAATATGAACAGGTATAAATCAAATAAAATACATTCAAACACAGATGATTGGTACACTTAAAGATTGAAGAGGACTGAAATAGAGCCACTCAAAAATTCTTTTAGTCTCTGGGCTGACTTAATTTTTGAAGCGAGTAAATAATAGATCAGATATTAACATATTATTACATCTCCCATTAAATATGTGTGATGCCTAACTGCCAAAAGCTTTGTTGATTATTTATTTATTTATTTATTTATTTATTTATTTATTTATTTATTTATTTTTCTGAAGCAGAGTTTCGCTCTTGTCGCTTAAGCTGGAATGCAATGGCACAATCTCGGCTCACTACAACCTCCGCCTCCCAGGTTCAAGCAATTCTTCTGCCTCAGCCTCCCAAGTAGCTGGGACAACAGGCACTCACCACCACGACCGGCTAATTTTTGTATTTTTAGTAGAGACGGGGTTTCACCATGTTGGCCTGGCTTGTCTTGAACTGACCTCAGGTAATCTGCCCACCTCGGCCTCCCAAAGTACTGGGATTACAGGTGTGAGCCACCATGCCTGGCAAGCTTTGTTGATTTTTTAATTAAACCATAATCTCTATTGTTTTTTATCTGGAAGAGGATATTTTTCTGATATTTCATAGATTCAACTATAGATGGCAGGATATTGGAAGCAGTATCAGACATTTTACTATATGATTAAATTCACTTTAATAATCACAATATTAGCATTTTTTCTTGTATATCACCACTATATACATCCATTTTTAGGGTAGGAAATATGTAAAAGTCCTGTGACTCAGCTTTTCTCTGGGCATTGAAGATGTACCTTTATGTTATGTTAGAAATGAACATATATTTGGATTAGAGAGTACAGATTAATCAGTACATAAGGAGTATTTTATGCTACTGATTAATATATTCTCAACAGCAGAGAAATGCACTTGATGCAATTCAGAAAAAAGTAAAAGATTCTTTTACATGCTAAATTGTTTCAATTCACTACATTTTCATTTACTCTGGGGAATAAAAAGGAAAATCTTTAATTATCTGAATGAGCCACTACATTTTTTCTTTTGTCAAATGCAATTTGAATTTCTGGGAATTATATTTTAGAGTGTTTCTGATACACACAGAGTAAACCATCTCTACACTGTCCTGCATTTTCCTTTCTAAGCTACACAATTAAAAACAAAACCCTTTCCAATTGTGTACATTTTTGAAGCTTCTCAACAAATTATGAGGCATTTATACTTTGGAAATGTTAATCAATTTAACTCCCTTCCCATCACTTTCCCTAGTGTATTCAAAGCTCTTTTGCTTTACAGTTATCTTAGGGCTATTAATGCATGATTATCGTATGTGTATTTGCAAAGAAAAAATAAAAATATTGGATAAGCAATAGAAGGGAAAAATCCATTGTTCTTGGAGAATCTACTTGAATAATTATGTTCTATTGATCAACTGTTATGAGTAACGTGTTTTAATTCCTCAGAGTTCCAGATTCTATATTGAGCCATTGGTCAAATTCTCTATCGAGCATTTTAAAATCCAACATGATAGGATAAACATTTATGATTAGTGAATTGGTTATTTGGTTTACGTGATTATGAAATCACAGTGCTTTATTCTAGATTGATATAGACAACCTTATTTCATGTCCCTGAATAGGATTACATAATATCTCATTGCAGACATTTTGTGGTGACTATTAAATTGTCTTAAAAAATTGCTGAGGGACCTCAGCTGTATTCAAAGGTATGTACTTCTGGAAAGTCCATGAACTGATTCAAGTTACAATGTATTTGTATCATGCTCCAGAAAAAAATTCTGATGGATGTTGACCAATTCTAGTGGTCTCTATTTACTGCTCTAACTAGTGACTATAACAGATAGACGGCTGGGGGTCTTCTGTATAAGGTTGTGTTGCCTTTGAAAGAAGGTAGTAAGAAGTGAAGGCTTTTCCCTCTCAAACATTACCAGATCCAACTTGATAATGGCATCAAACTATCAAGGAGGACAAAACAAAGAAAAATACAGAAAATAGAGCTGAAGCCTGGACGTAGACTACCTGGCTTCTTTTGCATGTGACAAAACAAGACTCCTTACTTCACTTTTAAGTTATATTTTATTTTTCTTATAATTTTAAGCATCCCAACCCTTATACATAAAACCTTTGCTTACATAAGATCAATTCAGCATTTTACAGGACCATGCAGGGAAGTGGAACAATCTTCAATCACTCCTTTGGAATAATTAAAATATACATGGCAGGCTGAGAATGGGGAGCGTGTGTGAGGTATCAGGGGAGGTGAAGGAACGTGTGTTTGCATAATAAACAAGACCTCTAGTAATAGTCACTTAGAATGAAGCCATGTATTACTTTGAATACAAGTTTTCTCTCCCCTCTCATTCTTGCTCTCACTCTCTTTCATACACACAAACACATATGAATATATATGTGTGTATATATATGTACATAAATTTATATATACCCTCTTGGACATATATGATACATTACATTTTACAAGGAAAACATATGCCTGGGGAATAGTGTAAAATATTGAATCCTGGAAATACTTGAAATAGCAGTTTTAACTCTGGTTAATAAACCAAAAGAAAAAGAGAATGCCCAACTCTATTTAAAACAGAATTGTATCTTTATAGTCAGAAAACTTTTATAAACTTAGTCAAAATTATAAAGTGACATATTAATTAAATTGAAGAGGATGAAACTTGACATATACTTCTGATTTTAATTTTTGTAAAAAAAAACTCTACAATTTATTATAAGATGTTAAGGTTTAGGCAATGTCCATAGCTAACATAGTTTGATGATTCAAACCCTACACTGTGTATTCCTTTTATTTTTATAATTATTTATCTTGTATTATCTGCAGAAAATACAGTGTAGTATGATTTGGCAAGGAGAAACATCTGCCTGGTAAAATTAGCTAGGTTTTTATTTCAGAAAGAATCATAGCTTTTAATTATTGAGCACCTCCTATATAACAGTATTTTTAATTATTGAGCAACTCGTATGCATCATACTTTACATTAGGCTAGGTGTGATCTCCTAATAAAAGTTCTATGAGGAGTGAGTAAATGCACATAAATGTGTATTAGAAAGATTGGTTAATATAGTGGTTAAGATCATCAGCCCTGAAGCATCCTGACTGGACTCAATTCTCGCCCTCCCATTAGATGCTTTATGAACCTGGACAAATTTGCTCATCTCTCTTTGTACAAGCATCCTCATCTGTGAAATAGAAGTCATGATAATATCTTCTATGCAAGCTTTCTGAGAGTATGGAGGAATTATTAATAATAAATGTGCTTAAACACTTCTTGACAAAGAATATGTGTTCAATAGTATTTTGTTTTAATCAATATTATTACCACTTGGCTAAAAATAAAATAACATTTTGTGAAAACACAAAATTAGTACATGGAACCATTCTTTTGTGTAATTCAGTTTCTTCTATTCTTCAAATGTCTAGTCCAAAATCCATTGTTATCAGTAGCTATATCTCCCCCACTTCTTCTTATCCTCTATTCACGTTTTTATGCTATGAACAATTACCCCCATATTAATGTCATTTTATTCATGTGTTGTATAATCTACTTAACCTGGTTGTTTGCACCCTGAATAGCATTTCTTTCTCCATATATAGACTCTTTCTATATAAGCATGTTGATTTTAACTTCTGTTTCATGTAATTTTCTTAAATTAGCCATATTAGAGCAATTTACACCATGTCCAAACTAATGTAAAACTAGTGATGAACAACATAATGGAAGCATTAACTGAATATCTTCTTAGATTGGAGCAAGGCAGCCAGTTAGTTGATGATACAGGAAACTCCAGATAAGAGTCCCCATCCTTCACCTGAAATGACTTTCTGCTTACAGAATATTATGAGAGCAATTATACATCTCTGTATGGCATGAATAATTTATACTTTTATATTAAGTCAAAAGTAAAAAGGTACCGAATATGTTCCATGAAAATAGTTTAAAAATACAGACATTTGTACCACATACATGTCTTGCACAAGCTTGGGGCCCATTTTAGCTTTCATTTGAAAACAAATCATCATTATTAGAACACAGGTATTTCCTGGAGGGATACTTCAAATTATAAAATCGTGATTCATTCTACCTATTTTGATATGGATAATTACATACATATTAATGTATTTTAAAGTAGCTTTTTCATGCTATGTCATCAGACTCACTATTTAAATAAAGACATCTTGTAAATTAAAGCTATCTTTGGGAAGAGCTGGGAGTATGGAGTTCTGCTTATTGTTATAAATGTCTTCTTATTTCACTTTTTCTGTATCCCACTTTACTCATTACAGCCTGACACTCTCAAGATGAAAATTATTGCATAAGTAAATCACTTCTCCATTGTATTCACATCTATTGCTATTACTAAAACTAATACTAACTTGAAGTATAGTTTATGCCCTGATACCATAGGTTTTAAAAATATTTTATTTTGGCTGGACACAGTGGCTCACGGCTGTAATTCCAGCCCTTTGGGAGGCTGAGGTGGGCGGATCATGAGGTCTGGAGATCGAGACCATCCTGGATAACATGGTGAAACCCCATCTCTACTAAAAATACAAAAAATTAGCCAGGCATGGCGGCACATGCCTGTAGCCTCAGCTACTTGGGAGGCTGAGGCAGGAGAATTGCTTGAACTCAGGAGGCAGAGGTTGCAGTGAGCTGAGATGGCACTGTTGCACTTCTGCCTAGGCGGCAGGGTGAGACACCGTCTCAAAAAAAAAAATATATATATATATATGTATACACACACACACACATCTATATATATAATTTTATTTCAATTTTATTTATTTATTTATGTATTTTGAGACAGAGTTTTGCTCTTGTTGACCAGGATGGAGTGCATTAGTGCAATCTCGGCTCAC
Organism: Homo sapiens; assembly: GCF_000001405.40. NCBI lineage: Eukaryota > Metazoa > Chordata > Mammalia > Primates > Hominidae > Homo > Homo sapiens. The sequence goes on from NC_000005.10 coordinate 22,270,748, forward strand.
TGCATCCTCCACCTTCTGGTTTCAAGCGATTCTCCTGCTTCAGCCTCCAAAGTAGCTGGGATTACAGGTGCCTGCTACTACGAAGCCCAGCTAATTTTTTGTGTATTTAGTACAGATAGGGTTTCACCATGTTGGCCAGGCTAGTCTTGAACTCCTGACCTCGTGATCTACCTGCCTCGGCCTCCAAAATGCTGGGATTACAGATGTGAGCCACCACGCCCGGCCCTTTACTTTTGTTCTTTTGGCTCTATAATAAGCATATTCTTTATACTTGGAAAAAATATTTTTATATACCTTTTTTAATAAGCAGAATTTATCTGTGGGTTTCTCTGTGCATGTGATGCTATTTGATAGCATTTTACCCACAGTAAAACTTCTTTCAATATTGGAGTCAATTCTCTCAAACCTTGCTGCTGCTTTATCAACTTAGTTTATAAATTTAATATTCTCAACATTTTCTGTCATCTCAACATTGTTCAAAGCATCTTCACCAGGAGTAGATTCTAGCTCAAGAAATCAGTTTATTTGCTCATCCGTTGGAAGCAATTCCTATTTATTAAAGCTTTATCACAAGATTGCAGCAATTCAGTCACATTTTCAGGCCCCACTTCTAATGTTGGCTCTCTTGCAATTGTCATCACGTCTGCAGTTACTTTCTCCATGGAAGTATTGAATCCCTCAAAATCGTCCATGAGGTTGGGAATTGACATCTTCCACACTGCTGTTAATGTTGATATTTTGACCTACTTCCAAAAAACACAAATGTTCTTAAGAGCATCTTGCTTGGAAAATCTTTTGCACAAGTTTTTATATTACTTTGTTGAGATCCAACAAAGGAATCACTATCTATGAAACTATAGCCTTATGTGAGATATTTCTTAAATAATAAGACTTTGAAGTCGAGAATACTCTTTGGTCTTTGGGCTACAGAATGGATGCTGTCTTAGCAGACATGAAAATAACATTAATCTATTGCTACATTTCCATCAGAGTTCTTGAGTGACCAGGTACATTGTCAATGAGCAGTAATATTTTGAAATAAATCTTTTTTTTTTCTGAGCAGTGGGTCTCAACAGTGAGTCTAAAATATTAGGTGAACTGTGTTATAAACAATCATGCTATCACTCAGATTTTGTTGTTCCATTTAGGGCACAGGCAGAGTAGATTTAGCATAATTCTTAAGAACCCTAGAATTTTTGGAATGGTAAATGAGTGTTGGTTTCAACTTATCACCAGCTGCATTAGGCTCTAAGAGAGACAGCCTGTCCTTCGAACTTTGAAGCCAAGCATTGACTTCTATGTAGTTAAAAAAGTTGTAGATGGGATCTTCCTCCAGTAGTAGGCTGTTTTGTTTACACTGAAAATATATTGTTTAGTGTAACCACCTTCATCAATGATCTTAGCTAGATCTTCTGGATAACTTGCTGCAGCTTTGATATCAGCACTTGCTGCTTCACCTTGCATTTTATGTTATGGAGATGACTTATTCCTTAAACCTCATGAACCAACCTCTGTTAGATTCCAACTTTTCTGCAGCTTCCTAACCTCTCACAGAACTGAAGAGCATTAGGGTCTTGCTCTGGATTAGGTATTCATCCAAGGGAATGTTGTGGCTGGTTTTATCTTCTTTTCAGACCACTCAAACTTCCTCCCTATCAGCAGTAAAGCTGTTTCACTTTATTTTCATTCATGTATTCACTGAAGTAGATCTTTTAATATGCTTTAAGGAAATTTTCTTTTGAATTCACAATTTAGAAAACTGATGCAGGGCCCTAGGTTTCAACTATTTCAACTTTCAACAGGCCTTTCTCATTAAGCTTAACCATTTCTAGCTTTTCATTTAAGGTGTGAGATGTGGTAGTCTTCCTTTCACTTGAACATTTAGAGGTTATTGTAGGGTTATTAATTGGCCTCATTTCAATATTTTTGTGTATCAGGTAATAGGGTTGCTCAAGGAAAAGGAGTGAGATAGAAACAGCTGATTGGTGGAGCAGTCAGAATGATGCACAACATTGATCTAAATGTGACACCTTATATGGGTGCTGTGTTCGTCTGTTTTTATGCTGCTATGAAGAAATACTCAAGACTGGGTAATTTACAAAGGAAAGAAGTTTAATTGACTCACAATTCTGGATGGCTGGGGAGGCCTCATGAAACTTACAATCATGGCAGAAGGGGAAGCAAATGCTTCCTTCTTCACATGTTGGCAAGAGAGAGAAGTGCCAGCAAGGGAAATGCCAGATGCTTATAAAACCATCAACTCTTGTGTGACTCACTCACTATCATGAGAACAGCATGACAGAACCACCTCCATGATCTAACCATCTCCCACGAGGTCCCTCCCCCAACATGTGGGGATTACAATTGGATTGCAATTCTGGATGAGATTTGGGTGGGGACACAGAGTCAGACCATAACAGGTGCACTTCATGGCACCACAAAACAATTACAATAGTAGCAACAAAAATCACTGATCACAGATTACCATCAACAGATATAATAATAATGAAGACATTAAAAGTAATTTTTGAATTACCAAAATATGACACAGAGATATACAATGAGCCCATGATGTTGGAAATATGGTGCTGATAGGCCTGCTCAATGCAAGGTTGCCACAAACGTTCAATTTGTAAATAATGCAGTATCTGCAAAGTACAATAAAGCAAAGCACCATAAAATGAAGTATCCCTGTAATAACAGTTACACACTTATAATTCTGGAATTCTATGTATATAATCTCATTGATTAATTAATTCTTATATTAGCTTGGTGCAAATTGCAATTACTTTTGCACCAAGCTAATAACAATGATATAGTTTGCATTGTTTCTGTATGATTGATGAGAACTCTCAGCGTCTTTTCCGTGCATTTCCTACCTGAAGAAGAAAAAGTTGCAATGATAGAAGTAATCTTTTACTTCCACTTCTCAGACTGAGCTGGTAAAGTTATCAAAATGTGTTGCTTTGCTTTGATTTTGGTGGGATTATTCCTATCTCACTCCTTTTCTTTGAGTGAGGTGGGAATACTGCTTGGTCTGTTTCCTCTTCCTTATTGCGCCTACTCATGCATCTTTCTTCCACTCAAAAGCAAAACTTAAAACGTGCAAAAACAGAAATCTATAGAGAAGCATTCTATCTTTTCTCATTTAAGTTGACATATTACAGCATTCAAGTAGCATAATATAATCATGAGCATTTATCAAAAAAATCTACCTTGGACCTTTTTAAAGTATATGTGAATTCTTTTGAATTTATATCCACCACTATGAATACAATAATGAAAATATAATATTACCTAATCTTTATTAAGAATGTGTAACACCAGGCACTGTGTTATGCACATTATATATATTATTGTGATTGTTCCTTGCATAAAATCAATCAAACAATAATACCTAAAAATTATTCAGTTATAATATTCTAAGTATTGTGCCAGGTATAAGCCATATGTTTTTTGTCAAAGTAAATATTTAGGGATAAGGATATGGGATTTTACATGCCAAGAATCGAGGAAAATTCATTTGAATATTTCTAAGACAATTGTAAAAATACAAACAATAACAAAATAAATGTTAGTTTTAATAATTCAATTTCACTGAAAATTTTAATCTAATTAAACATAGATTTAGCACATATCCTCTTTTATTGTTTAGCACTATCTCTAAAATTAATTTATAAGATTTAGTTGACATAAATGATGACTGAAGTCTTGGCACAGTTTCATTTTAGACTTTAGAATTGGACAATCAATTTTTTAAATGGATATAATTTTATCAAATATATTAACCACAAACATGAATTTATGTGTGTATCATTTTGACTCTTTTGAAGTTACTATTTTCAGTAACTCAGGCACATACACATTCTTATCTACATATTCATGATATATCATATTATATGCCAATATATATATAATATGCACACAAAAATCTATGTGAATATATATGATGAACTATAAACCCAGTGCAGTAAGAGTCTTTATTTTAGAGATAAAATAGGGGTAAGCCTTTATTGTCTTACTGTCTTAAAATGAATTTAACTGATACATTGAAATAAAATTAGAAGTAATATTTTAAAAGTTATATGCATCTTATTTTCATTTATTGAGCTAAATCTGAAATGATTTTCATTTCTTGAGTTAAATTTCGGGTGTCTTTTGAAAATAAGATTTACTAATAACAGATAGCCAACCTTTCACAGTGCACTGTATGAGTTCCAATATGAAGGAATACCTTAAGAATCTTTTAACTTAGTAAATGAGTAAAATTCAACATTATGAAAAGTGCACCAGCTTCTGAGTTCCAATATGAGGTGGTAGCTCTTAGGCAAACAAGAAAAGGACACAGAGAGGGGAACATCACACACTGAGGCCTGTCAGGAGGTCAGGGGCAAGGGAGGGAGAGCATTAGGACAGACATCTAATTCATGCAGGGCTTAAAACCTAGATGATGGGTTGATGGGTGCAGCAAACCACCATGGCACATGTATACCTATGTACCAAACCTGCACGTTCTGCACATGTATCATAAAACTTAAAGTACAATAATAAAAAAAAGGAAGAAAGGATGATCTGGGACATGAAAGTTGAAAAAAAAAGAAAAATTTGTTATTCCTTGAATAACATTACATTTTAAAAACAGTAAACCTAAGAATCTACTCACATTTAATTTTTTAGTGAACTCAATCATGTTATGAAAATGAAACGGGTGCTTTTCTTAGGTGTAAACAGTAAAGCTGTACTTTACTTAGCGGTAAAGAGAAGAGGTATATTTAAAATTAGTTTTGAGTCATGGTAGTTGAATATTGGGGTCTATATTAGAAGACTATAATCAGTGTCAGGAGATTTCAAATAAGGCTTAAAAAATATTTCTAAAATAAGAAGCTTAAATCATTTTTTATCCCTTAATATCAATAATTAAGAAGTTTGCCCAAACTCATTTATGTTGTAGAGTAACTGAAAAGTATTGGTTAAAATCATTTTCAATGTGTGACTTCCATCAAAGTCATAGAAAACTATACATATCAGATTCCTGGGGCAGTAGATGAAGGCAAGAGAGTTAATAGAAACTGTTTGAAGACACTGAAATGCAATCTGAAGGTAGAAAAAACCTCTACGACTAGTTCTTTGCCCAATTGGTGATTTAATTGGTGACAGAGTAGTGTCCTGCATAGCAAATATTTTAAAGTTACCCTATTTCTGATGAAATATGGAGAACTATTAAAGGGTTTTTTTTTCAGATCTTTACTATGACAACTATTGTTGGAATTGCATAAAAAGTTTAAACCAAATCAATTTCTTTTATTCATTATTTTCATAATTTAGATTGAGGTTGGAATGTATAATTCAATTATATAGTTAATTGATGCCATGTAGACATGGATTAACCAAGCTTTAAGTGTTCTGAGATTGAATTATTTCAAAAAGTATTCATTGTACTTTCTGACTGGAATTTGAATTATTCCCTTCAGCCAGTAAAGTATAAGCAGTATCTTCGGACAACAACAGGGCATTAAAGAAAGAGTTCTGAGGATGGCCAATAAAAGAAATCTCATTATCTTTAATCTGAATATGAATCAAACTTTAAAGTGTGGAAAAATAAATACAAATCAGTTAATAAAACATCCATAAGATACGTGTTTCAAGCTCAATATGTCTTGTACTAGTATTATATGTTATGTAATACATGAGTTGCCGTAAATGAATACTGATGTCAAAATCAGCAATAGCATGTCTACTTTTAAAAACTCATCCCCTTGATGAAAGATTTATAACTTGAAATGTACCATGTATGTGATGTGAAAGAATGGTTCACTCATGTTGAGCAGAAATAATCATTCACTTTGCAAATGAACGTTAACACTTGAAAAATAATAGTTATGTTTATTTAATAATTATGAAGTACTAGGACTATTTTAAGCACTATTTTATTTTATTTTATTTCATTTTATTTTTTTGAGATGGTGTCTCATTCTGTGGCCCAGGCTGGAGCGCAGTGGCGCGATCTCAGCTCACTGCAACCTCCGCCTTCTGGGTTCAAGCCATGCTCCTGCCTCAGCCTCCCGAGTAGCTGGGATTACAGGTACATGATATCACACCCAGATAATTAAGCACTTTATTTCAATAATGTATTTAAATCTCACAATAAACCTATGGAGTAGGTTACAAATAGTATGCTCATTTTATAGATGAGAAAATGGAGGCAAGCAAGATTAAGTCACTTGCCAAGTGACTAATTCAGTAAGCTAAGTTAATGATTTAGCTAAGTGATGCAGCCAGAATTTTAACTTAAGAAGTCAGTTGTCAGAGTTTATAATCTTACTCAAGACCCTATGCTCTGTCATCCTTAACATTTTGTGCCGCCTGTGGCAGTAGCAAAGTAGCCCCAATAACTACAAATTAGATAATAAACTTTGAAGCCTGCTTCCCAACCACAGCCATCACGTCTTGCCAGATAGCTCTGCCAAGGTTGGCTCTGCTTCCCTATAGCAACTGGTATTTCTCTGCCACGAATGCTCTCAATGGCAGACAAACTGGCTCCAGCTCAGCTAGTGTCTCTGCTGTCACCAACCACTCGGGGCTAATACAAGACACTTCATCAACCTCTTCTAGAGTGGACTTGGGCCCTGAGGACCCTGGCTTGTTTGGTAGAAATCTTTCATCACTGAACATGATCTGAGAAGGTAGGGTGGCTAGGACAGGTCACTCTGCCCAGAGATATCTTCTCTGAGACCCATAGTGCTACTCTATCTTGGCTGGTGCTTTTTGTGACAGACGTATGTTCTGATTAAAAAAAAACAACAGGCCAGGCATGGTGGCTCACACCTGTAATCCCAACATTTTGGGAGGCCAAAGAAGGGGGATCACCTGAGGTTGGGAGTTCCAGACCAGCCTGACCAACATGGAGAAACCCTATCTCTACCAAAAATACAAAAAATCAGCCAGGCGTGATGGTGGGTGCCTGTAATCCCAGCTACTCAGGAGGCTGAGGCAGGAGAATTGCTTGAACCCGGGAGGTGGAGATTGCAGTGGGCCGAGATTGCGCCATTGCACTCCAGCCTGGGCAACAAGAGCGAAACTCTGTCTCAAACAACAACAACAAACAACAAACAAACAAACGAAACAATCAACTAAGCTTGCTGCAATGTGGGAAGCCCTCTCTTATCCTGGACATAAGTGAGCAGCATGCAAGTATAGAGCTGGATATGAAAACTTAGAGGAATGACCTTGTGGAAAAAGGCTGATCTTTCTTGTAAGGGTTGGCATGTGGCAGACTGAACACCATATTCTGGAAACAGGGACATTCGACTTATACCTGAATGAGAAGAAAGGCTTTTATTGATTTAACTGCCAAATGGGAAATGATGAAACACTACAATATTTCTTAATAAGAGAAGATGTTTTACATATTGTAGCTAAAAACAAAATAAATTATCATAGAAATCAGTAATGCAAAAATCCAAGTTGCTTCTTATTTAATTGAATAAAGCATAGTCATAAGGCCAACGAAAATGCTGGTGTGACATTTAAGATCTGAGGTTTGTTGATTTTGCCAACATTTTACATTCTCTTGAAGATTTGTTGGCTCTACCACCTGGCCTAAGTACTGAGCCTCTGTCAGCCAAAAGGATGGGAAAATGAATCAAATAAATGAGACAACATAGACAGTGTTCAAATGAGTATCTAACTCTCCCTCCTTGTGAAATGCTGAGTTACACAAATGACAAGATACAAATCACCTAAATCTGCTGAAAGAGGAATAGGAGAGTGTAAGGCATTTTAGAATTTTCCCAGCCCTCCCTTTTTTTTTTAACTCAGATTTTGACACTTGAAGGATACATTAATGTTATCTAAATATCCGCTTATGTAGAATATATAAATGCTTTCTTAACCGTGATATACATATTAATTATTACCCAATGATCTCTAAATTCTTTCTAGCTTTGATTTTAATATACACAATTCTAGATGGATTATGTCACATTTAGTCTACCCTCTAGGTATGCAATTTTCTGTCCTACTTCTGAAGAATAAATAATTTTGCTTTCCACAGAGCAGAGGGGAAGGTAGCTATGGAGGTCATTTTTTAAAGAGACCAAAATAAATGAAAATAGCTACAAAATAAATCTTCAAATATCATTCAAATCTCTTTGGATGAATTCACAAGGTCTTTGAATAAATTCTCAAGGATATTAAACAGTAAAAGTTACAGAGAAATATATCTAAATAACTTCCACTTCAATGTTCCCAATGTCTGTTATTTAAAATAGCAGGCAAAACATACATATATAAATGTAACATATATTATATCCATAATTATAGATAAATATTTACTCATTTTCCATACATATCATTATTTTTCTATACTGAAACATTCATATGCTTTTACCACTCAAAAATTTTGGCATCCTAACTAAAGCCTAGAAACATCTTCAAAGTAGTATCAATTGAATAAGAAGTATAACTAGAGTTTATTGAAGGTTTTAGGATCCACAGCTATTATGAATAGCTTCATATATTACTTTTGGTAGTCTTTACATACCAAGTTAGTAACAATTAATGCTGTGATAAAATTATTTGTGGTCATTTCTGATGTCATAAAAATGTAGTTAGAAAATTACTGTTTTTTATATACATATTGATTATACTTTAAGTTTTAGGGTACATGTGCACAACGTGCAGGTTTGTTACATATGTATACATGTGCCATGTTGGTGTGCTGCACCCATTAACTCGTCATTTACATTAGGTATATCTCCTAATGTTATCCCTCCTCCCCTCCCCCCACCGCACAACAGGTCCTGGTGTGTGATGTTCCCTTTCCTGTGTCCAAGTGTTCTCATTGCTCAATTCCCACCTACGAGTGAGAACATGCGCTGTTTGGGTTTTTGTCCTTGCAATAGTTTGCTGAGAATGATGGCTTCCAGCTTCGTCCATGTCCCTACGAAGGACATGAACTCATCATTTTTTATGGCTGCATAGTATTCCATGGTGTATATGTGTCACATTTTCTTAATCCAGTCTATCATTGTTGGACATTTGGGTTGGTTCCAAGTCTTTGCTATTGTGAGTAGTGCCGCAATAAACATACGAGTGCATGTGTCTTTATAGCAGCATGATTTATATTCCTTTGGGTATATACCCGGTAATGGGATGGCTGGGTCAAATGGTATTTCTAGTTTTAGATCCCTGAGGAATCGCCACACTATCTTCCACAATGGTTGAACTAGTTTACAGTCCCACCAACAGTGTAAAAGTGTTCCTATTTCTCCACATCCTCTCCAGCACCTGTTGTTTCCTGACTTTTTAATGATTGCCATTCTAACTGGTGTGAGATGATATCTCATTGTGGTTTTGATTTGCATTTCTCTGATGTCCAGTAATGATGAGCATTTTTTTATGTGTCTGTTGGCTGCATAAATGTCTTCTTTTCAGAAGTGTCTATTCATATCCTTTGCCCACTTTTTGATGGGGTTGTTTGTTTTTTCCTTGCAAATTTGTTTGAGCCCACAAGAGAAAGCAGAAAAGATCTAAAATTGACACCCTAACATCACAATTAAAAGAACTAGAGAAGCAAGAGCAAACACATTCAAAAGCTAGCAGAAGGCAAGAAATAACTAAGATCAGAGCAGAACTGAAGGAGATAGAGACACGAAAAACCCTTCAAAAAATCAATGAATCCAGGAGCTGGTTTTTTGAAAAGATCAACAAAATTGATAGACCTCTAGCAAGCCTAATAAAGAAGAAAAGAGAGAAGAATCAAACAGACGCAATAAAAAATAATAAAGGGGATATCACCACCGATCCCACAGGAATACAAACTACCATCAGGGAATACTATAAACACCTCTATGCAAATAAACTAGAAAATCTAGGAGAAATTGATAAATTCCTCGACACATACACCCTCCCAAGACTAAACCAGGAAGAAGTTGAATCTCTGAATAGACCAATAACAGGCTCTGAAATTGAGGCAATAATTAATAGCTTACCAATCAAAAAAAGTCCAGGACCAGATGGATTCACAGCTGAATTCTACGAGAGGTACAAGGAGGAGCTGGTACCATTCCTTCTGAGACTATTCCAATCAATAGAAAAAGAGCGAATCCTCCCTAACTCATTTTATGAGGCCAGTATCATCCAGATACCAAAGCCTGGCAGAGACACAACAAAAAAAGAGAATTTTAGACCAATATCCCTGTGGAATATCAATGCAAAAATCCTCAATAAAATACTGGCAAACCGAATCCAGCAGCCCATCAAAAAGCTTATCCACTATGATCAAGTGGGCTTCATCCCTGGGATGCAAGTCTGGTTCAATATACACAAATCAATAAACATAACCCAGCATATAAACAGAACCAAAGACAAAAAGCACATGATTATTTCAATAGATGCAGAAAAGGCCTTTGGCAAAATTAAACAGCCCTTCATGCTAAAAACTCTCAATAAATTAGGTATTGGTGGGACGTTATCTCAAAATAATAAGAGCTATTTATGACAAACCCACAGCCAATATCATACTGAATGGGCAACACCTGGAAGAATTCTCTTTGAAAACCGGCACAGGAAAAGAATGTCCTCTCTCACCACTCCTATTAAACAAGGTATTGGGAGTTCTAGCCAGGGCAATCAGGCAAGATAAATAAATAAAGGGTATTCAAATAGGAAGAGAGGAAGTCAAATTGTCTCTATTTGCAGATGACATGGTTTTATGCTTAGAAAACCCCATTGTCTCAGCCCAAAATCTCCTTAAGCTGATAAGCAACTTCAACAGTCTCAGGATATAAAATCAACGTGCAAAAATCACAAGCATTTCTATACACAAATAATAGACAAACAAAGAGCCAAATCATGAGTGAACTCCCATTTACAATTGCTACAAAGAGAATAAAATACAAAGGAATACATCTTACAAGGGATGTGAAGGACCTCTTCAAAGAGAACTAGAAACCACTGCTCAAGGAAATCAGAGAGGACACAAACAACTAGAATAACATTCCATGCTCATGGATAGAAAAAATCAATATTGTGAAAATGGCCATACTGCCCAAAGGAATTTATAGATTCAATGCTATTCCTGTGAAGCTATCATTGACTTTCTTCACAGAATTATAAAAAAACTAGTTTTAATTTCATAGGAAACCAAAAACGAGCCCGCATAGCAAAGACAATCCTCAGCAAAAAGAACAAAGCTGGAGGCATCATGCTACCTGACTTCAAACTATACTACAAAGCTACAGTAACCAAAACTGCATGATACTGGTACCAAAACTGCATGATACTGGTACCAAAACAGATATGTAGACCAATGGAACAGAACAGAGGCCTCACAAATAACACCATGCATCTACAACCATCTGATCTTTGACAAACTTGACAAAAACAAGCAATGGGGAAAGGATTCTTTAATAAATGGTGTTGGGAAAACTGACTAGCCATATGCAGAAAAATGAAACTGGACCCCTTTCTTAAACCTTATAAAAATATTAACTCAAGATGGATTACAGACTTAAACATACGACCTAAAAATCATAACAACCCTAGCAGAAAACCTAGGCAATACCATTCAGGATATAGACATTGGCAAAGACTTCACGACTAAAACACCAAAAGCAATGGCAATAAAAGCCAAAATTGATAAATGGGATCCAATTAAACTAAAGAGCTTCTGCACAGCAAAAGAAACTATCATCTGAGTAAACAGGCAACCTACAGAATGGGAGAAAATTTTTGCAATCTATCCACCTGACAAAGGGCTAATATCCAGAATCTACAAGGAACTTAAATTTACAAGCAAAGAACAAACAACCCCATCAAAAAGAGGGCAAAGTATATGAACAGACACTTCTCAAAAGAAGACATTTATGAGGCCAACAAACATATGAAAAAAAGCTCATCATCACTGATCATTAGAGAAATTCAAATCACAACCACAATGAGATACAGTCTCACACCAGTTAGAATGATGATCATTAAAAGTCAGGAACAACAGATGCTGGAGAGGATGTGGGTAAACAGGAACATTTTTACACTGTTGGTGGGAGTATAAATTAGTTCAACTGTTGTGGAAGACAGGGTGGTGATTCCTAAAGGACCTACAACTAGAAATGCCACTTGACCCAGCAATCCCATTACTGAGTGTATACCCAAAGGATTATAAATCATTCTACTATAAAGACACAAGCACACGTATGTTTATTGGGGCACTGTTCACAATAGCAAAGACTTGGAACCAACCCAACTGCCCATCAACGATAGACTGGATTAAGAAAATGTTACACATATACACCATGGAATACTATGCAGCCATAAAACAAATGGATGAGTTCATTTCCTTTGCAGGGACATGGATGAATATTTGTCACACAGAATATTTGTCCATCTTCTAGAAATGTTTGATAATAATGTAACATGGAAAATGAAAAACAAATAATTCCTGGAGGAACATCTGTGAGATATATATATAGATATATATATATATATATATATATATATATATATACACACACACACACACACACACACATATACACACATATATATATAGCATTTACATATATATACACACACAGCATTTATGTATATATCACATATATCACATTTATATGTATCACATTTATATATAGTGAAAAAATATTATATATGTGATATATACATATGTGCCACACAAATAAATACTATTTAGACTTAACAAATGAGGAAATATATTCAGTTGCAACAACATGGATGAATTTTGAAGGCATTTTGATAACTGACATAAGAACAGAAAGGCAAATACTGATTTTCACTTATATGTGGAATCTGAAAAATCAAACTCATAGGAGTAGAGGGTAGAATTGTGGTTGCTGGGAGCTGAAGGAAGGCAAGGAGGAAAGAGAAATTTTTGTTAAAAGGTAAAAAGTTTCAGCTAGACAGAAGGAATAATAGATCCAGAGATCTATTGTATAGTATGGTGATGATAAATGATAATATTGTACTGTATACTTGAAAATTCTGACAATAGATCTTTAATGTTTTTACCACAGGAGAAAGAAAACATAACTCTGCAAGGCGATGGATATCTTAATTAGCTTGATTTAATCATTTCACAATGTATGTGTATATTAAAACATCACATTTTGTACCACCAATACCTTCAATTTTAATAGATTTTGGGAAAATTATATAAATGGAATTGTTGGTGATGCACACATAAATCATAATCAGGTTTACAGACATTTCAATATCCATTATTCAAAATAAAAGCAGCTGTCAATTTTTAAAATAAACTTAGTTACTGACTACATTTTTTATTGGTAATCAAACTGATGTTCATGCTGATGTTGAGTGCAAAAAAAGATTTTTCAAATAAAAACCTCGATGTGACAGAGTATAAAAATATTCTCTCTTTGCCCCATCAAACAGATTTTGATAGAACTTTGAAGAACTGCAGAATTTATCTTTTAAAAAGATGATACGAGAAAAAAGTAGTAATGAGCATGAAAAACCTTATGTATTTATTAACTGCTGTATAAAATACTACCACAAAACTTAGGCTATCACAGCAATATACATTAATTATCTCAGTTTCTTTAGGTCAGAGGTCTAGGCACAAATTAATTAGGTCCTCTCTCAAGGCTACAGTCAGGATGTTATCCAGGTCTGTGGTCTCATCTGAAGACTGAGGATGGAGTATTTCTAAGATCACATGCTTTTTGGCACAATTCAGCTTCTTGAGAAATACTGGTGCAAGGGTACCAGTTTCTACCTGCTGTTAGCTGAAGGACACCATCAATTTCCTGCCATGTGGGCTCTTACAGCATGGCAGCTTGCTTCATCAAAGCATGAAAGCAAACTAGGAAATAGAGTCTGTTAGCATGTGCAAGTTACACTTAACCTATTCATGGAAATTACATTCCAAAAGTTTTGTCATATTCTGTTGTTTAGAAACAAGTCTACACCATCCCATACTCACAGGAAGAGGATTCAACAAGTGTCTGAATACCAGAAAGTGGGGATTATTGAGAGACAATTTAGAGCCACCCTGCCACAACTTAGCCACATTGTATTTAAGGATTTGCTTCAATAATGAGAAACAAAAATGAAAGAAGGGATTTTTAAAAAATGAAAAAAGACCAGGAAAAGGGAAAGAAGCCAGGGAAGAATAGGAAGATGAGATGAAAGAATAAAGGCAAAAGAGAAAAAAAGGGAAGAAGAAATGAAAAAAAAAAAAGCATTGAGCAAAGTACAATTAAGTGTGTGTAAAGAATATAAAATGAAACATCACATTTTTAAAGTCTATTATTGAGGCTAAAATAACATGCATTGAGAAAGAAGTTATTTATCTTACAAATTCATGGAATAAAACAATCAAAAAATTAATTAGTCTTTACTCAAAGTGGGATAGGGAGTGAGGACTATTTTTAAGTGGGTAAGAATTTCTCTACTTAATGGTGAAGAAAGATGTATATTTTCTACCCATCACTTCATTATTTAAAACATTTTAAAATAAATTGTTTTTCCTTAAAATAAATCTTGAGTCATGGTTAAAGACGTAACAACTTTCTCCAAGACATAAAAAATAAGTTAAGATTTGTGAACCGTGCATATTTGCTCTTAGTTCCCAGCTAAATTTCAGAATTTTATGTATATGAGTGTCTAGACATGGATAGACATGGATATTTATCATATTTTAACTACATGGTTCTCTGTAAATAATTGATTGATTCAGCATTTAAAAATGCTATGCTGAGCCTCATTTCCTTATGTAAAAGTGTGAAAAATCAATAATTATTTCATAGTATCATGAGAATTAAAAATAAACTTGGTTAGAACTTTGCTGAACACTCAGGTGGTATCCACTAAATAACTGCTGAATGAAAGAATTCGTGTTATATGGCATTATACAAACCCTATATCTAACTAAGTTAGAGTAAAAATCTGGTTTTAGAAATTTTAGTCTTCATATCTAAGTCAACTTTCAGTTCTGAAAGATATCATTTTGCTCTAACTTGTTTTATTTTCTTTTATTATATGCTGGAAACTTTGGAAAGTGTATTAAAAAATGGTTAGTTCCTTCATTTATTCAAAAAGTATTTACTGAGAGCCCCGTGTATCAGGCATTCTTACTTCTGAGGATGAGGCACTAAAGAAAGTGAACTCCCTGCTTCATGGAAATGGCATTCATTTACATGTAGAGGCATGTATAAGATAAATGCATATATATCTTTCTTGAAATTATTTTTATAATTTATCTTTATAATTATTTTTATCAATTATTCCATATAATTCATAAGTGGTCTTACACGGTATTGACAATATAAATACTCTTAGTTTGAGTTTTAATATACTTTGATAGTAACTTATTTCTTATTGCCTCAGAGATTTGTTACAGCATTTCATCTCATGCATTATTTCCCAATTTCTGCAGATTCAAAATGTCTTATATGTAGTATTCTGGCAGAAACAATGCAGACAGAAATTGAATCAAAAATATAATTCTCATAAAGGCAAGTCACACAAAGCATAAAGAGAATAAATGTCATGCTAGCAATTTTTGCAATAATTTTCTCTCTTCAATTAATCAGACACTCAATTGGCTCGAAAAAATATATATCATCTAGGACAAGTCATCCATCTTGGTTGGCACCTAAAGTAGATGGGCCATCCTTTACTTTATAGCACTTCAACTACATAAACCTAAAAGATAAAATGAAATTCTAGACACACAAGGTTAAAGGACAGCAGAGTCGGGTTTCATCTTCTGCAATATTGTTAAATGGTCAAGGTGAGGAACAAAAGTAATATCCATTTTTTTGTGTGTGAAATACAACACAATGTGAACCAGAATGTCAAGAATGATGAATATCACAGAAATCCTCTCATACAGAAAGGAGTTTATCTGCACAGCATTTTCAGCAAATAAATCACAGTTTCATTCTTTCTTTCCTTTTTTTTTTTTTTAACTTCACTTAGACCAAGCAGTGAGTCAATAACTTGCAGTCAGGGTTAACTCAAAAATTTAGACTGATATAGCCACTTATTTGACTGAATATGGTCATTTTTAATAAAAAAAGACATTTTGTATCATGTTAAGCAAAATCATTGTTTATATATGTGTTGAATTTGGTAATACTGAGACATTTATGAAGTAATGCAGTTTGTACTGGATGCTTTGCCTTCCTGTCTCTGAGTTACAAAGTCCCTATATGCATCTTTAGACATTAAAGATAGGAAATATACCACTGTTTCCATAACCAGGTGGGGTATCCAGGGAGAATCGGAAAGTTGAACAAATGTTCCAATGGAGGAGGCCTTGAACTGGGCATTGAGATTATCATTCGAGTCACTATGTAAATACAGATCACAGAAACAAATGAAGCTGGTTGACCGTAAGAGAATAGAGAAGTAGAGGACAGACAGCAACATACATAAGACACAACAAACTTTGTTATGGTTATGCTGCTAATGCTTTGTAAGAAGAGTCTCCTTTTGCCATTTACGTCTGATTGTTTTGGTTTCTTTTACCTACAGAGAGGAATGCGAAATAATATTAGCTTTTATTAAATTCCACTAGGTAACTTGATACTATATTTGTTAAGGTAGCTCAGAAAGAAGTTTAAATTTGATAATATAAATGTCAATTTATATTACCAAATATAAATTTTATAGTACAGTTAAAAATATAAAATTAATTTAATAAAATGTATAACAGGCTGGGCGCGGTGGCTCACGCCTGTAATCCCAGCACTTTGGGAGGCCGAGGCGGGCGGATCACAAGGTCAGGAGATCGAGACCATCTTGGCTAACACGGTGAAACCCCGTCTCTACTAAAAATACAAAAAATTAGCCGGCGCGGTGGCGGGCGCCTGTAGTCCCAGCTATTCGGGAGGCTGAGGCAGGAGAATGGCGTGAACCTGGGAGGCGGAGCTTGCAGTGAGCCGAGATTGCGCCACTGCAATCCTGCCTGGGCTAAAAAGCGGGACTCCGTCTCAAAAAAAAAAAAAAAAAAATGTATAACAATATTTCATATAAAGCACAAAATAAAATATATAATATAAAAATCAATTAGATGTAATATAAATTGAAGTTTCAGATTTCTTTTAATGGAATATTCTGAAAAAGACTGTTATCAAGATGATGCTTACTAACAGGTTTCTAGAGAAGGGTGTCCATTTCCTTTTCTAAGATATGGCTATTCCGTATGTGCAAGCTCTGTAGTTTAGCACACATTTGAATTGTTTATGGAACATTCCACCCAGTCAATCAAATAAATCCTGAATGGTGCACAGAGCATTATGTGTAAGATCTACTTAATTATGACCCTCTGCTGCCCTTAAATATAATGTCATATTTTAAAGTCTAGGATGAGACCACCTTCTTGGATTCCATGATTAAAATGTCTAATTGTTAGGTCAGAGCCAGACCCATTCTCTGGCTCTTTCAGAAGATATGGAAATATGTCTCCTTACATCTTCTATCTGAACCTTACTTATCTTCACTTGAAGATAGAGAACATGAGCAAAAATATACACTTATTGGAGTAACAAAAGCTATCTGGGGTAAATATGACCAATTTATGTAATTTATATTTAAATATGAATGTACATCTAAAACATGAATGTTAATAGCATTACATATCTATATACATGCGTATACAGTTTGCCAGATGCTGCTTCAAAACATTGTCATCATACCTTGTTTGCAGAAACATAATGTTTATGTTTCTACATATGTGTGTGTATGTACCTATATGTGTGCATGTCCGTATCTGATCTATTTTCTATTTTATCTTTATTATTAAAGTTAGCAATGACAGATCTATATTTTTGGAAGACAGAAGAAGAATAAGTTAGTGACTAATCTATGTGAGCTGCCTTTTAGTGCAGAATTCGTGTCTCTGAGTAAGTTGCTGAGATGTATAGACAAGAGGTATATGCTGAGATTTAAAGTCTGGGATGTACAGTGGTGGACCAAATTGTCTACATTGCTAGTCCTTAGAAGACAGTAGTCATTTTTTCCTGAAAGAAATTAAACAAGTATGTAAACATAATGTCTGGTATTAATAGACTTTGAATTTAAAATTTCTTTAACTGAAGAAAATATAATAACAACTTAAATCTAAATTCATAGCGTGCAGAGTGGGTAGAGAGAAATAGTGTTAATACTGAGGAAATATAAAAATGAAAACTGTATTCTTAGTTATGAAGAAGGCTAAGGCGAAAGGATTGCTTGAGCACAGAAGTTTGAAACCAGCCTGGCCTACATAGCAAGACTCCATCTATAAAACAAAAAGGAATAAAATGTAATATAAATAAGCTAAGAGACTTGTATCATAAAGCAGACATAACCCCTGGAAAGCAATTCCAGAGGATAAAGGAATAAAGAAAGGGAAAAACAAACAACAGAAGCATTTTCTTTGAGCCTTGAGATTTAAAGTGCTTATCAAGTCCCAGAGAGGATTGATGAAAAATGACAAACAAGTCGTAATACCCTGATACAAATCTTTAATTCAAAATAGATAAAATCTTATAATCTTTAGAATAGAAAAAAATTCCAAAAAAGTAAAGAAATACTGCCAATCCTGGAAATTCTCATCTACAAACTGGAAATTGAAGGGCAACTGAATAAAATTAATGGATTATGGAGAGAAGTCATCTGTTCATCAAGAATGCCATATACAGCCAATTGTTATAATTCTAGTTTAACATAAAAGGAAGATAGCATAAAATGTGAAAAGTCAAAGCTGTATCTTCCATGAATATTGTCTTTGGACAATACTAGAATAAAACCAGGAATCTTCAGCAATAGTCCTTCCACAGAAACATCAATTTGAACAACTATCTACAAAAAAGAATACTTTCCAAAGAGATAAGAAATCCAAGTGGGAGATCACAGTACCTGGTTGTAGCACAATAATGAAAAATATGCATTGAAGAAGGAAGGTAGGAAGAATATTCTTAGATTACCTGCATCACTCTCTCCTGACCCCAGGCAGCACAGCACAAGAGAGAAACGGTCTTCTTGGGGGAAAGAGAGGGAAGTGATCAAAGGACTTTGCCTTTGAAAACTCAGCACTGAGCACATTATCATGCCCCATATTCTAGTCCAGTACCTGAGGAATGAATCACTAGACATGTCCTGGAGCCAGGCAAGACCACAGAGTCCCAGGCTTCAGGTATGCATGGAGGATTCAATCATAAGCCCACATCAGTGTTAGGCCAGCTTCAGGGAATTTGAGCCCTTGACAGCACTCAGTGGCAGGCAGTGAGCGCTACAATGAGCCCCAGGTATCTGGAGCATCCCAGTGCCACAACTGCTACATTGAGCCCTGGGCTTTTGAAAACACCATGCTGGCCAGCCACGTCTATCGTAGGGTGCTTTTGTACCCCAGTGCCATGCCTGCTACAAAGCTTTCTCAGTCAAAGCCAGTCTGCAAAGATTAAAATAAATACTTACTAATTCAAATGTGCAGACATCTACACATTACCATAAAGTTAATGATCAATCAGGAAAAGATGGTATTATCAAATGGACAAAATGAGGGGTCAGTGACTGACCCCAAAACATCGAGATGGATTGATTGACTTTCTCACAAAAAAAATTGAAAATTATTCTAAGGACACTCAGCAAAGTTCAAAAAAATACAGGAGAGCCATTCAATGGAATGAGGAAAATGATAAATGACCAAAACGAGATATTTAATAGAGGGATTAGAATGACAAAGGAACAAAAAATCAAAGAGATGTCCTGAAGTGAAAAATATAATGAATGAAACCAAAAATGCAATAGCGGATCAACAGCAGAATTGTTCAAACAGGAGAGAGAATCTGTGAACCCAAAAACAGATTATTTGAAAATAGTCAGAGAAGAACAAAGAAAAAGGAGTGAAAATGAGTCAAGAAAGTTTATAGAATTTATGGGACAGCACCAAAAGAGCAAATGATTGAGTCATAGGGGTCATTAAAACTGATACTATAGAAATACAAAGGATCATGAGAGATTGTTATGAACAATTAGACACAAACTAATTGGAAAAATAACTTAATACATGCAACCTACCAAGACTGAGTTATGAAGAAACAGAAATTCTTAACAGGCCAATAATGAGTAAGGAAACTAAAGCGGTAATAAAAAGTCCCCCATCCAAGAAAAGCCCAGGAGTTGATGTCTTCAACGATGACTTCTATTAAACATTTAAAGAAGATCTAATACCAGTTCTTCTCAATCTCTTCCGAAAAATTGAAGAGGAGAGAACAAATTGAACAGTATATTTTACAAATAATTTATGATGATCACGTGGGATTTATTCCAGGGATGCGAGGATGATTCGGCATACATAAATCAATAGATGTGATACATCAAATTAATAGAACTAAGAACAAAAGCCATATGATTATTTCAATAGGAGCAGAAAAAGCATTTGACAAAATTCAACATCCTTTCATTATAAAAACACTCAGCAAATTAGATATAAAATAAATGTGTCTCAACATAATAAAGACTGTATATGACAAACCCACAGCTAATATCATACTCAACCTAAAAGTGTCTTCTCTGAGATATAAAAAATGAAAAGAATGCCAACTCTTGCCATTTCTATTCATTATAGTACACTGGAGGTCCTTACCAGAGCAATTATGCAAGAGAAAGAAATAAAATGCATCCAAATTACAAAGGAAGAAGTTAAATCATGTCTGTTTGTTGATGACATAATTTTATATGTAGAAAACTAAAGACTCCACTAAAGTGCTGTTAGAATTAGTATTTCCGTAAAGTTGCAGAATATAAAATCAACAGATAAAAATCAGTAATGTTTGTATGCACAAATTGCAAACAACCTGAAAAAGAAAGCAAGAAACCAATCCTATTTACACTAGCTATAAAAACATGAAATAATTGAATTTAATAAAGGAGGTAAAAGATCTCTACACTGAAAACTACAAAACACTGATTAAATAGACTGAAGAAGACATAAATGCATGAAATAACAAATGTCTTGTGTTCATGGATTGGATTAATTAATATTGTTTAAATGCCTGTACTCTCCAAAGTGATCTACAAATTTAATGCAATTCCTATTAAAATACCAATGATATTCTTCACAGAAAGAGAAAAGATCATCCTAAAATTTGTATGAAATCATAAAAGACCCCAAATAGCTGAAGAAATTTTAAGCAAAAAGAACAAAGCTAGAGGCATTATACCACCTGACTTCAAAATAAACTACAAAGCTACTGTTGTAAACAAAACAGCATGGTACTGGCATAAAAAGAGACTCAAAAACTAATGGAAAATAACAGAGAGCTCAGAAATAAGTCCATGCATTTACAGCCAACTGATTTTCAACAAAGAAGCCAATAATACACTATGGGGACAATCTCTCAATAAATGATTCTGGCAGCACTAGATATCTGCATTTAGAAGAATGAAATTAAACCCTTATCTCATACTGTATGCAAAAGCCAACTCAACAGGGATTAAAGAATTAATTACAAGACCTAAAACTATGAAACCACTAGAAGAAAATATAGGGGGTAACCTCTATGACAATGACATTGATCTGGGCAACACTTTTTTTTGGTTGTTGCTTTTTGGGGTTTTTGGTTTTTGTTTTTTTTTTTTTTTTTTGCTTATGGCTCCAAGAAAAGCAAAAATAGACAAATGGGATTACATAAAACTTAAAAGCTTCTGCACAGCAAAGGAAACAATCAACAGAGTAAAGGACAATCTAGAGAATTGGACAAAGTATCTGCAAATTACACATCTGATAAAGAGTTGAAATCCAAAACAAATGAGGAACTGAACTCAATAGCACAAACAAAACAAAACAAACAAACAAAACAAATTGCCCCAATTCAAAATTGGACAAAGGACCTGAAAGATGCTTCTCAAACACACACACACACACACACAAACACAAATGACCAATAGGTAAATAAAACTTGCTTAACACCATTAATCATCAGGAGACATCATACCTGTTACTGTGGCTATTATCAAAAAGACAAAAAATTACAAGTGTTGCTGAGGATGTAGAAAAACAAGAATCCTAATGCACTGTTGGTGGGAATGTAAATTAGTACAGACACTATGGAAAACAGTATGAAGTTTCCTCAATGTTGGAAACAGCGAGTTCCTTTTCAAAGGTTCTGCTTGTCCTCTATTTGCAAAGCCTAACTTCCTTGCCTCCTTGCCCCTAATTATGGTAAACAAGCTTCCAGCCATTCCCAATCTGTAATTCACATCTGTTCCCAACTTGTAACCCACATCCATTCCCAATCTGTAACCCACATCCATTCCCAATCTGTAGTCCACATCCATTCCCAATCTGTAACACACATCTGTTCTCAATCTCTAAAAACCCACGTCTGTTCCTTATTTGGCACCCTTAGTTCTGAAACTGCTCTTCCTGCTGCTGTAGCCCCTACCCCTGCTCCATTTGAAGTAGGCAATTGGGATCAGCTTAGATTGTGCGGTCTGACCCCAGCCAACGGGGACCGGACACAGTAGCAGGGACTGACTGAATTAGGGATAAAAACCCCTACCCTCCTTTGTTTGGTGTGCTCTTGCAGTGACCAGAAGAATGAGCAGCACCCTTCTGCAGAAGTAAATTTGCCTTGCTGAGAAATCCTTCATTTGAGTGCTCATTTTCTTTGAGACTCTGAGCTCTTATTTCCAACACTTAAAAAAAATTAAAACTAGAACTACCATAGGATTATGCAATCCCACTATTAGGTATATATCCAAAGAAAATAAAATCATTATGTCAAAGAGATTTCTGCACTCTCATTTTTATTGAAGCATTATTCACATTAGCCAAGATATGAAATAAATCTAAGTGTCCATCAATGGATGAATGAATAAAGAAAATGTGGTACACATATACATATACACACACACACACACATACAACAAAATACTATTCAGCCATAAAAAAGAAAAGAATTCTGTCATTTGTGATGACATGGATGAACCTGGAGGCCATTATTTTAAGTGCAATAAGCCAGGCACAGAAAGGCAAATACTGCATGATATCATTTACATATCTAAAAACATAATTGATCTCACAGAAGTAGAGAGTAGGATGGTGGCTACCAGAGGCTACGGTGGTTGGGGGTTAAGGTGGTGTTGGCGAAAGGATACAAAATCTCAGTTACATAGAAAAAATAAGCTCAAGAGATCTGAGTAGAATTTAGAATATATTGTATTCTTGAGAAACGCTAAGAGAGCAGATGTAAAGTGTTCTCAGCACAAAAACAATAACTATGTGAGGTAATGCATATGTTAACTACATATGTTAATTAGTCATTCCACAATGTATATGCTCTTCAGGACAGTATATTGTACATGACAAATACATATAATTTTGTCAGTTTAGAAAAACAGAAAAAAAACTAAAAAATTAAATTGAAAAATAAAAATAGATGTGAGATAGAGATAGAAAAGAATATAAAAATAGATCTATCAGCAAACACATGATAGAGCAAGGACTGATGATGATTGAGGGAAGAGTGTTCCCTGTGAGCAAGGATATGCAAATCTCCCAAAGGCTGAGGAATCTAAGAGGCTGAAGAAAGGGGATGATAAATCCAGTTTCTTAGAATAAAACATTTAACAGAGACTTAAGAACAGAAGCCCTGTGTTGGGGGCCACTATTCCCAAACTGTTACCCCCCAGACACAGGGCCTATATCCATAAAGAAAGTGTATATGTGCTTCAGAAGGAATGTGTAGTACAATTGAAGTATCCCTCAGGGAAAGGCATGAATGCTTAAGGGCAGGATTTAAGGTAAGTACATGCTCTTACACAAGGAACTTTAGATAAATTCGAAATCTTAGAGGTATTCCTGGAACTGGGGTTAATCTGAAGTCAACATAGCAGACTAGCATCCAAGATGGAGTTGCTTTAGCCTCCACAGAGAAGATTAGGCAAGTAAATTGTCATTAGGTGAGGAAGCCACAAGCACAAGTTACTTTTTATATAGTGAACAAAATGGCCGTAAGGTTCTCCTCAGTTTGACTAAACCTTAGACAGGTTTCTTCCCGACTATAGGTCCATGGCCTCTCGTTTCTTATGTTTGCCTTAGAAAATTTGCAACTATTTATCTGCTTCTTTGAGCTATTAATCTTCTCTTAGCCTCTTGCCAGCTTTACATGGCAGGAACAACTTTCCCAAGAACCTGGGAGAATCCCTATGAAATGTAATCATCAAGAACGACAGGGCCTCTGTCTCCCAGTTTCTGTGAGTGGGTAAGAGCCTAACTTCAATAAGCACCAATCAGCAACAGAGATGGCCTAATCACCTTGACCAACCTCCCCACTAATGTCCTCTAGTACTTTTCCATTAGCTCCTCCTGTTGCTTAAAAACCCTCTCACCTTTTGTTTCAGCAAAGTTGACGTCACTGCCTACTGCCTCTTCCCTATTGCAATAGTCTTGAGAAAAGTCTTCCTTGCCTGTTTACTTCATCTGGTGCAACTTTAATTTCTTTTCTTTTTTTTAATGAGTAATATATTGCTAGAGAAGAAGCTTAAATTATGAAAAACCATGATAATAGAATTCACTGCACTTCTGATTTAGAATATTCAAGTTAAAATCCACAATTTTCTTATTTCAAACTTTAGAATTGATAAATTTAAGTGTTTGCCATTGCACACAATACTACAGTAAAATGGGCATCAATTTGAATCTAAATTGCTATAACATTTTTTGGAAAAAAGCCTACAGTATATATTAAAATTACAAATTCACACTCTTTGATCTAGAAAAACCACACTTAGTAATACAACCTACAGAAATAAAAGCACCAATGCCTGGGGGAATATGAACAAATATTTTTAGTATAGTGTTATTTTAATGGAAGTAATTAGTCCATTTAATGGCAAGAGTTTGAACAAATATGTGTTACATCTACACATCATGGAAATTCAGAAGCCTTTGAAAATTACTTAAATGTTTATTATACTGACAATAACTAAACACTAATGACTAATCTGGAGATATGAACTAAACATTAAGAAAAATAAGGTACTGAGTAGTATAGGCTATATGAAATTTACTAAAGTTATACGACAAGAATCTCTATCTATGTTCCTGCAGAGGTATAGAGAATGAATACTAGCAAGCCAATACTGGATTTTTCAGGAATTTGGAAATAAGAGAAACATTAGAAAGGACAAGTAACAGTTGCATATTTATAATAAAAATCGCATCATTTCTATAGGTATTGTGTACACATATAATTTTATTACTTTAAAATATGATAAAACATTTCTAATGAAAATCCAATTTTGCTGACATTGACTAATTGTGTGTGAGATCATTTAATGGACACTAACTTTATGATACCTATAGGAGAAAAATAATGCTTAAAGGGAAAAAAATATACAACACTGGTATATCTTTATAAAAATGTATTAGAAAAATTATAATATATATTTATTGTTCAGTAACATCAGCCAATGAACAAATTAATTGTTGATTTTAGCAGTAGGAAAATGTCAAACTAATAACTTATAAGACTACAGGGCACATGAACTAATTTGCTAATCTACCTTAGAGAACCTATGTTAGAGGAAATAAAGAAAATCAGAGACCTATTCCAAAACGTATTCCTCGAACTATATCTACTAATTATATGCTAATATATGTCTCTAGTTAATAAAGAAGGATGTAAGGGTATCACTGGGAATGGTATTTTGTATTAACTTTCTCTGTTAATCATGAATATTAAAGTAAATATTTATAAATGCAATGATTTTCAATTTGTGACGGATACTTAGAGAGAAGCTTTATTTTGTAATTTACTGCTATCTCCCATAATTAAGATCTAAATGTAAAAGTCAGTATTGAACTTACTAAATAGGAAATATTTCTAAACAAACAATTGAGTGGGTATTAATTTTTCTTAATTTGTCTTCTGTATTTTCAAATATACATGCTATCTAATTTAAAGAAATTGAGTTTTATTAATTGAGAAAATAAAATTGTGCTAATCTGCTTCAAGCGTGAAGCTGGCTCTGGTTTCAGAGCTTACAAATGATTTCAGTAAAACCTTTCTAAGCAATAAAGTTTTGCTGCTTTGCTCAATAAACAATTAAATATTGAAGACAATGCAGTACAGCTTCACTCCTATGTATAGCACCATTAAAGCATGAACACAGAAGGGAAAAATATCTTTAGGAAAGCATACAAGATGACAATACTCCTTTTTGAAAAGAAAACAGTTATCACACATATTTCTTTTATTCTTTTCTTTCTTTCTTTTTTAATTGTTGTTGTTATCGTTGTTGTTGTTGTTGTTGGTTTTTGGACGGAGTTTTGCTCTTGTTGCCCAGGCTGGAGTGCAATGGCTGCATCTCTGCTCACTGCAATCTCCACTTCCCGGGTTCAAGCGATTCTCTTGCCTCAGCCTCCTGAGTAGCTGGGGTTACAGGCATGGGCTACCATGCCCGGCTAATTTTGTATTTTTAATGGACACGGGGTTTCTCCATGTTGTTCAGGCTGGTCTCAAACTCCCGACCTCAGGTGATGTGCCCACCTCGGCCTCCCAAAGTGCTGGGATAACAGGCATAAGCCACCGCGCCCGGCTTTCACATATATTTCTATTTTAGAAATGTGTATTTCTAACTGAGTCAAATGGCTCCATTACTGTGTATTATGTGTATTTCTAACTGAGTCAAATGGCTCTGTTGCTTTAAATTATGCAAAGGCTTAAAAAGAAGATATGTATCTATGCTGATATCTGATTAGAGTAGAATCAGAATTCATTACTTTACATGCATTTATTTCACACTCCTTGATAGGAACTATTTTACAATGACATATATGGCAAGAAATACTTTCCTTGTATCTTCAAGCTGCTTCTAAATCTAATTTACAACATGCGATTGTATTTGTATTCCTAATTAATCTTCAATTATGAAGTACATTCAATGGGATTAAAATATTTTTCAAATATTGTTTTAGGTTGCTGGGCTGATGCTGAAGAAGGGGAAAGATTTTAAACTGTGTATAACAGACTGTTGATTTTAAGTCAAATCATTTAATACCTGTGCAATTGTTATTGCTTATCTTTAAATTCTGAACTCCATCTTTTATTCCAATGGAAGGTGTTGATGTATACATTTTCAGAAATTTAAATATAAATTTACATACTTAATGAATGAGAATTAGTATTTTGAAATTTTACTTCCAGTAACTTCATTATTTCTTTTAGATATTAACTTAATTTAATTTTTATATTTCAAGACTTATATTTATAAATGCCAGCTATTGCTTTTAATAGCATTTAGTGTTTGTTAATGGGAAATTCAAATAAGTTTAACTCTTCCATCTAGTCCTTAACATACCTCATTTTGTGCTGATGCCTAATGGAGAAAAATAAATAATATATATGATACAATTTAATATATATATTATATATATTTCTCACTTTTAGTTTTCACTTAGCACTGGGTGTTTATACACACATACACTCATATACATATATACGCATTGTATATGCATATATTCATGTGTATGTGTGTATATATATATAGCACTTATTTAAATGGTAAGAAAGAATATGAGTGTGTATGTATATATAACCAACTGGTGGTATGTTTAAACACACACACACATATTCTTTCTTACCCTTTAAATAAATCCTATTCATTTAAGTTCTATACATGTTTCTATGTATATATCTAAGCAAACCTCTAATTTGCTTTTATATATTATTGTATAATATTCCATAAAATGTGGCTTTCTACTTTCTACTCTCTTTCAATGATGGATTCTGTAGCAGAAGCTTTGAATGAACTCTAAAGCCATTTTTATCCCTAATATCAATCTAAACTACATAGTGTACATACAGCTTTTTTACATAGATAAAACTAATATCTTCTCAAGAACTGAGCCTCCTGTAAGCATTCACTATTCTCATTCACACCACCAGTTGGTTATATTAGTGATGACAGAGAGATGTAAATACCTCCTAGCTGCCAAGATACTTGCTATGGAATGAAACAAAACAGGAAGAAATTGATAAAGTGAAAATAATATCAATAAGTCTTTAAATATCCAAAGATTTCATTCATGTTTCTCTAATAGATCAATGCACACTCTTCGGCATATCAACAAAGAAGTATTTGTTTTCCACTTCCTCTTGACTCCATATAATTTACTTTTTGGAAATGCAAATTAATAACTCATTACTCATTCATCATTCATCCATGAATTCAGCAACAAAAAATATTATGTTCTACTATAATCTAGACACTGTTTTTAGAGGTAGGGATATAGCAGTTAATAAAATGGAAACCTTAATCAGGCTGGTCAGGAAAAGACTCATTTTAGAATGTGAGATTTAAACAATGACTTAAAGAAGGTGAGAAACGGAACCATACCTATATCTGAGAAAAGAGCATTTAGGAAAATAAAGAGGAAGTGCAAACCTCAGGAGAGGGAACATGACTGATAGGTTAGCCGTAAAGTAAGGAACCCAATGTAGTTAGAGAAGTTGGTAAGGGAGAGATGGGGTGGGGTTGGAGAGAGAGAGATAGCAGGAGTGGAATGGGTTACCTAGGGCCATGTAGTGCCCTGGAAAGACCTTTCCTTTGTCTCTGAATAAAAGATGGGGAGTCAATGAATGCTTTGTGGCAAAGAAGAGGAAAGATCAAGTAGAAATGTTTTGGAGTACTCAAGCTACTTGCAGACACATTTGTAAAAATTATAAAATTATACTGCAAAATAAGTTAGTAAATTATTATTTAAATCATTATGCAAGAAGTAGCATGGTGTAGTGCAAAGAATTTCTTTGAAAGAGCTTGAAAATGTGGAATTTTTGCCATGTCTGATTAATGATCTCTATGAGCCTGAATAAGGCAAAGAATCTCTTTGGTCTTAGCTTTCTATTGGCTGTGAGAGATTGCCAGGTGTGATTTCCCAGGTCTAAATTTCTGTAACTTTATGCTCTGGATCAACTCCTTATGCCTTATTCCAGCTGTTAGATAAATAAATCAGTAGTTGTATTTTACTTAATTAGTCAATTTGTCTTTTGTTGTTTGAAAGACATTTTTATTTCCTTCATTCTTATTTTTCTTGATATTAGGTTAAAAAATGATTTAGTGATAAAAGAGAGTATAGTAATATTTTTAGAAGTTCCTGTCATTTTTTCTTCCTATTCTTCTGCAGAGTCAAACACTTTTACCGAAATTAATTCCCAAGCAAATTAACTAAAGCATATAGTAGGCTTTTACTCAAGTGCATAGATACAAAGGATGACAATAGATTGAGAGGTTATAATTTCACATTTTAAAATGAATATGTATTTATTTAAGCTAGGGTAGACTGAAATCAAGTTAGAACAGTAGTAGGAGTGAATAAGAACTGAAAGAAATGACATTTGGATGGAAATGGAGTTACTCCATACAAAAATAGCATTGTCTAAAAGGCACATCTATTTGCATTAAAGATGTGGACAGCCAGAAGCCACAAAGTAAAAGTGTGGGTGCCACTGGGTCTGTGGTATGCACTTCGGCTTTGTAAAAGCTACAGCTATGACAACAACATTTATTAGGAATCCACCATATGTATGCACTGGTTCCTCTCCTCTGTGTAAAACTTCTAACTGGTTCTTCTTGATATATTTTTAAAAAGACTGTCTAATATTAGCCCAGGAAAGCGGATGTTTCTTCCATCTGAAGTTCCAAATTATATTTCCCCTTAAATCTATACCTTACAAAGGTCAAAATCTTGAACTATTCTGAGAATTCCCTACCAGGTTATTACAGCTGTCACTTTCAAATAACTGATTACCAGCCCTGCCATACTCCAGTTTTCAATTGAAAAACGTGAATGACAACAATTTTGAAGCCGTACATTTTTAACGTTTTGCACCAAAGCTCAACTCTCAATATAACATATTTCAGCATAATGCTGTGAAATGTTATGAAACATTTCTCAAATGTATGAATGCAGCCATTAGGAAACTGATTTTTGGATTTAGTGTGTGTAATGTTGTTTCCATACAGAATCCATAACGGTCACATACAAAACTCATTCATTTCCTAAATAGGTTTGGTGTTGTTCTGATGTACAGAGCTAAAATAGAAAACCAATAGCATTTGTAACTTTATCAGATTTCTCTCAAAGGTTAAAACTATTTTCCCAAGGTATATAATATTAAGCTAAATACGAATGCATTCAATTAAACAATATTTAGTACATTTTCTATGACCCAAGTATAAAATGGATTAATATTTTGCATAACAATAAGAGTATTTTTGACATTGCTAACCTTGATCATAAAATAATACAGTTCATTTCATTCATAATAGCAGTGAAGGTATTAAAAATTGTGTGGATTTTATATACTTTGTCCTTTATTTTAGAGACTAAGTTCGGCAATGTATTTTTATTGAACAAGATTTTCTATCAAGGAATATTTAAATTCTACCCAGGCGTATTTAAAAGCTGTTGAGCAGATGCTGGAATAGGGTGGCTATTATGATATGTAAAATATTGCCCTTGTTCCCAAGACACTTTCTACCAAAAAAAATATTTTATTCATTCATTCACCAAATAGTTGTCAGGGGCACACTATCCACCTGGCACAGGTCACAAGGCCAATCCCAAACTAATATAGCTCACAGAGATGACAAGGATAAGAAACATTTACTGTCATCAAATATGTAGTATGGATGCATAAAGAAAAATGACTAAAGCACCACATGAGTAAAGTGTCATTTTTGAATCATCAGAAAATAAAAACTTGCATTCTACAAAAGAGCCAAGTAAACTTCAGCCACAACAAAATATACTGCAAAATTTCAGTGAAACATAGAGATTTTGACTCCCAATTTTATAATAATGGAAATTTAGTAACCACCTAAAACAAACATTTTTCATCCCCTTTTTATTTTTTAATTTTTTTTTCAAGACAGGGTTTTGCTCTGTCATTCAGGCTGGAGTGCAGCGGCTTGATCTTGGCTCACTGCAACCTCCATCCCACGGGTTCAAGAGATCCTCCCACTTCAGCCTCCCAAGTAGCTGGAACCACAGGAACATGCCACCATGCCCAGCTTATTTATTTATTTATTTATTCATTCATTCATTTATTTATTTATTGTATTTTTGGTAGAGACAGAGTCTCACCATGTTGCCCAGGCTGCTCTCAAACTCCTGAGCTCAAGCAATCTGCCCACTTCAGCCTCCCAAATTGCTAGGATTACAGGTGTGAACCACTGCTCCCAGCCCATCTACTTTATAAAAACATATAGGTACATATATATATATGGAGAGAGAGAGAGAGAGAGAGAGTGAGTGAGAGAGAGTCTCAAAAATTAAATACATAAAATACAAAAACAATTATATTTTTAGTTTTATATATTACACATAAATATTGTGATCAATTTATAAAAAGAAAACTCATTTCAGACATAAGGTCAATAAAATAAAAATGGATTCAGAGAAAGAAAAACAAGTAAGAAAGAAATGAACAAAACTAGTACATCCGCTCTACATACACACACACAGACACATGCATGTACATAGGCAAATTAGTGCTTGTGTCAAGAAATAACAATGCAAATATTCAAATCAGAGACTGTATAAATTGCATTTGTATGATCTGGTAACCTCATGTATATATAAGTGTGATAAAATTTCATTAAAAATTATTCCAGGAGGCTTATTTCATAACACTAGGAGAGTGTGCAATTAATGGAGATTGAGTAGATATTTTTCCAGGAAGTGGGTATTGAATTCCGCCTTGGATAGGTTGAATTTAAACCGCTTGCAGGAAATCCAGATGAAGATGTCAATAAAGCATCTTCAAAGTAGGGAATGCAATTCTCAATTTTGGATCATCTAAAAAGATTTGAATGATCTACATAGATATTCAAGTCATTGGAACATATAAAATTCTAAAAAATGAGAATAGCTTAGGAAAAGAGTAACAAAGTTATCAGTGTACAGGTCTCTGAAAACATATGTATCTAGAGAAAAAAGAAGGCAAAATAAGAGTAATTTTGGAAAAAGAGTAAAATGAACTATTGTTTATTGTTTGAAAGAGAATAATTCTTTAAAAATAAGAAATCATCATGAATGTTAAGTGCACTAGGAACGTAAAACTGATTAAAGACCACATACACACACACATGATTTCTGAGTTAAGAGACTGTTGGCTAACTT
Source organism: Homo sapiens (assembly GCF_000001405.40). Taxonomy (NCBI): domain Eukaryota; kingdom Metazoa; phylum Chordata; class Mammalia; order Primates; family Hominidae; genus Homo; species Homo sapiens. The sequence goes on from NC_000005.10 coordinate 22,302,906, forward strand.
AAAAATATCATGTTAACCATTAGAGTGAAAGCTAAACTGGATGATAAATGTTGAAATATGAATGTGGTTGAATAACTAAGAAGTGTATACTGCTTTGGCTAATATCTGTTTTAAAAAGGAAGAAGAAAGAGGAAGAGAGCTAGAGGCAAAAAAAATGTGGGTGCAAATATTTTAAGAAACAGCATTTTAAATTACAAACATGAAGATAGTATATCTGATTAAATGTCAAATTGTTATGACAGTAAGACATCTCATTGAGAAAGGAGCACTTTAAATATATGAAAGGACGTGTTTTAAAAGACTCTTCAGAAGAATTTAAAGAAGAAAAAGTGTACTTAGTCTTTGTCAATACAATGACAAATGTATGATTTTTTTCAGCATAAAAAGTCCATTCAATAAAAACATGTCACATTAGTTTATTGTTTAGGTTTAAATTAAATAGCTTTTATTAATATTATTTTGATTACATCATTAAACAACAAACAAAACACTTGAAAGTGTTTATATTATCAATGCAACAATTTGCTTTAAAACTTTGAAAATTATAATACACAAGCTGCCAATAAAATATTTTTCTAACTGGGGAGTGAGGGCTATAGAATTAATGGAAAAAAAGTGATTTGAAATGTATCATAAAGATTCATTTTTAATTATTGATATCACAATTTCTACATTTTAGTCAGCAGTAACAAAAAAGGCCAATGTTAGTTCATTTAAGCAATGAAATAAACTAATATCCTCATTATCCAAATACTCATAGAATCATGGATAATTTGAAGAGATTTCTGCCACTGAAGCCAGTTCATGACCGATTATCTTACAAATTTATAACATTTTTGAGCTAGACAATATGTCAACTATGTTCAACTATATTATTTGAGAATTCAAAGTAGAGAGCAGTAGGCTACCCTATCAAAGTCTCAGAGAAAATTGTGAACTTTGTTAAGTCACCTGCTTGTATGATAGCTCAGAGATCATTCCACCGCACCATGGTGATACCATAAGATTCAGAAACTAATATATTTTAGGATCATATTAATCATTAATACATTCTATATTTTCCAAAATGAATTATACTAAACATTTTATAACAACCCCAAAAGTATTCAAACCACCCACCCTTCTAGGAGTAAATATTTTAGTCATAAATGAGAATTATTTAATAAAAGTTTTCTGTCAGGTCACATATTACTCAGCATGTTGATAAGCTAATTTTTAAAATAATTTAGAAGTATCCTAGATAAGGCAGCTACGTAATTTAATATGTAAACCAGGACAGTTTGGAGAGTTAACGAGATGCCGTAAATAATTGTGTAGAAACCAAGGCATAAACCAAGACGCATGGTCACCTTGGCTACAGGTTACACTCATTTGACTATTTTTGCCTGTTTCACTAGATATGAGACAACATAGAATTAAGCTCTTTCTATGAAAGAAAGGGGGTGTGTGTGCACGTACTTATGTTGGCTTTCTCATTTGGTTATTAGTAGGAAATGCCTTTCTTGCTATGCACTCTCAACTCCAACTTCAAAGTCATACATGTATATATTATTTTCTTGGCACAAATCCAATCTATTAACTAATGAAATGTGAAATCAAAAAGGCACAAACGAGCTAAATTGGAAGCAGCAAAGTCCGATGATGGCATTCAGCATTCAAATGCCTATATAGGAGACATGAAGGTAAAGAAACAAACTTTCTTGTATCTTTTCCTGTGTTTATAAATGATAGGATGTGAATAATCACTAACTGTTTTCATTTAGATGTGCAAGTTACCCTTGGGCATCAATTATAACCTGAGGACATAAGCAACAGCTAAAACCTGACAAATGTGTGTGTAGAAAGTCCATGAAAACATAATCACTGTCCCATCAAAGAAGGAACAAAGATATCATAACCAGGCAATTGGGACACCTTGTCAGTTATGCATAAATTGGTTAATCAAGAAAATAGCTTGACATAAGGGATGCCACATCCTGAAAAGGCTGCTAAGGGGACAGAATCTTGACTTCAATTTGGACTTGTCTGCTGTAAACCTTCGAAAATACTAGAAGGCCCCAAGGTGTGTGGCAGAGTCAATTCATAAATATTCAAATGCCAAGCAATAAAATAATTGCTAAAAATACTCTCATGCCATAAACAATTTTTTTAAGTTTTTAAACAGAATAATTTTTTTAAAAGCCTCTAAAATATATCTATAACATAAACATATAAAAGGTACTTTGGATTTGTTGTTTTTAAAAGTCCCCAAATACAAATTTCCTCTAATTCTTTATTCCTGAGTCATAGTCCTGATTATCCTTCCATCTGCAGGAGATAATCATCTAGTTCATCTACTGTTCCCTCCAATACAGTATGCTCCAACTGAATACATTGCTTTTTAACACTGTCCTCTTTGCTGTTTCCTCTTTTGATAACAAAGCCTCAATTCAGGTACTTCGGCATTATTATCACAGGTTGGAGTCTCAAAAGCAGATGCTAAGATAGTGTCTGTGTATATTTTTTTTAAAAAGAAACTACTCTCATCTGTTAAAAGAAGAGAAAGAAACAAGATTGGGCAGCAGGACTGGTTGAAGTGCCACGCTGGCTCCATGAAGCCACAGACAAAGTTCTGGAGATAGAATGACCCATCTTCAGATGGTCCTTGGCCACCTTAAAGTGCCTGGGCCATTGTATCTCCTCTATGATCAGTCACTGAATGCAGGCCGCCCTAGGGAAGGGCATAACCTTGGGAGACCTGTGAGCCCTAAGTGAACTCACAGCTGCACTGTGAGTTCCGCTGGCCTCACTGGGGGCAGCAAGTCCTCTGAGGATCCATCACTGGATTCACCACATTCTGCATCTCACTCCCATATTCAAGCATTCACTCACTAGGTCCAGTAAATGTTGACCGTAAATGTTTTCTATCTGTTACTTCCCTTACAGCTTTGCTGCGACTACCTTGATCCTGGCTGTCCTTTCTTCTTTCTTAGTATTTCTGTCCACCTTCTTGCCCACTTTCACACTAAGGCACCCTGAATGATCTTCTTTCATAAACTTCTTAAATTACATAGCACCTTCTCCCTGCCTCCTAGATAAGATTCATGCTGACATTGACCAACCTCTTTAAACACCTGCTCATCTACAAACTGACCAATTGAACTGTTATAATTCTCTCCCTGTGCCATGCTCTTTAATGTCTTTATACTTTTGTTCAGGCTCTTTCTTCTGATACAAATGTTTTCTTTTGCCCCCCTCTACTACAAGAACCCTTCTGCTCACCAGTTGCAATTTATACTGTTCTTTGAATCAGCAACATTGAAAGCAAAAGCCTCAGCACATGGCCGTTTGTATCTTTATTCATCGGAGTGTAACAAAGGAATGCACAATTCTAGTGAAGTGCCTGGTACACAGAGACACAGAGAATATGCTTTGCCTTGTGGTATAAGGAAAAAAAATAATGAGAGAGAGAAAAAGAAAGAGAGAGGGAGGGAAGGGAGAGAGAGAGAGAGAGATTACAGAGACAGAGATAGAACTAAGATATGGACAGATACACAATCAGCTAGTTAAAAATGACATATTTTAGTCACAGAGGTTTTTAAACAACCCACTTGCTAAAAAGAAATTCTGTGTAACATCAAGAAATTTACTTTACTTTTCTGAGTTTTTTTAACCTAATATGCAAAATGTAGCTAATGATACATTACAGAAATTAAATGAGGATGCTTACAGTTTCTAGCACACACTTTGTGCTCAATAAATATGATTATTACAGCTCTGGGTTCTGGGGTCAAATGAATGAGATTTCTGTCTCATTCATATCTACAAGCAAGATAAGTAACCTGTTTTTAAAGTTTTTAGAAAAGTTTGCATGAAAATCAAGTACATCAGTGCTGCTTAAGATACTTATAAATATTAGGAATAAAATGGAGAGAATAAAAATTAGATGTACCATGCCTCTACATTAAAGATCTTACAGTTTTAAAATCATAGCTGTTTTATAAAAATTAGGTGGGAAAATATCATTCCTTAATGTAAAGTTTCTGTGAGTGTTTTATTAAGCTGCTATTTTTATCTAAACATATACTTAGTTATATGCTGATATGAAAATTATTTCTGAGTAGAACTAAGTGGCTTTTAGAGTGGATCTAGCATCCCTGATTATAGCTCTATGGGGTAAAGCTGATTCAAAACAATTTTCTGCAGCGAATTTGAGTCCTGAATGTGGAAACTCTCACAGCTCACCTCAGATGACTTTAATGAGATTTTCAGCCTCTATGAAAGGATTATAACTCTACCCCACTTTGACTGCTCCCAAAGAGCATGGCTCTGAATTCCAATGGCCATACAGAAGAGCTGTATTCCTGGCATTTTCCAGAGAGTAAAATCTTCAGTCAATGTCAGCCAAAATTTACTAAAAGAATTATGATACTAAATGATTTGCAAGGACACAGTACATGCCGTCTTTAAAATTGTTTTTACTAAGTTGTGATTGTGTGGTGATGCCTTCAACCTTACATAACTTGTTGTTGATTCTCTGTAAAGGCCAGTGGAGTAGGAGACACAATGTGTATGGGTGCTTTGAGCAAAGGGATTTTCAACTATTTCTTCTTTGATGCATCCCAAGCACACAGTATCATGCCTGACAAATCCTAGGTTGAATAAATATTTGTTAGATATATGACTCCACGTTATTACACTGTCCTCATCAGGAGACCATTTGACATAAATAATTCTAATTTTATACCAAGAAATATTGTGTTTTTCCTAAACAATTAGTTGATTTATATATTGAGGCCATTTAAGATTATGATGAAAAAGAGTCTTCTTGCATATTAATTTTTAAAATCTTGGTGACAAACTGCTATCCCAACCCTAGTAACTAATATGGGTCATTTTGGCACTCAGTGTCCACTTAATTAACAGCTGTACTTTGTAGTAACATTATAATCATTTTAATTTCTATATATTTTTGCTGCTTTCTTTTAGTTTTTTTTTTTTTTTTTTTTTTTTTGAGACAGAGTCTCACTCTGTCGCCCAGGCTGGAGTGCAGTGGCGCGATCTCGGCTCACTGCAGGCTCTGCCTCCTGGGTTCACGCCATTCTCCTGCCTCAGCCTCCCAAGTAGCTGGGACTACAGGCGCCCGCCACCACGCCCGGCTAATTTTTTGTATTTTTAGTAGAAACGGGGTTTCACCACGTTAGCCAGGATGGTCTTGATCTCCTGACCTCGTGATCTGCCCACCTCGGCCTCCCAAAGTGCTAGGATTACAGGCGTGAGCCCCCCGCGCCTGGCCTAGATTCTTTTTAAGTCATATGAGATTCTAGAAAAGCAGAGAGAAAGAGATGTTTTCTAAATTACTATTCTAGAGTTAAACAGGATGTATTATAATTTTAATGGGTGTTTTCCATGAAGAGTATTACAGTAAATTGTGTAGGATCACAGACATTTCCCTAAGGATCATTAATCTGTCATTATCCGATTGCCATCTGCATTCCACTGCTAACAGAAGGATGGCTCAATTATTTTGACCATGTATGACTGGGATGCTGTTACCTTTATTAACCATTAGTTGTATTATTTTTATTAAAAAAGATATCCTCAAGAATGAGCATGAGATTTATTTGTAGGTAATCCAATTGTTCTGAAATTAAATTAGGTTGATAGTTGTACAACCCAATAAGTACACTAAAAACCATTTAATTGTATATGTAAATGTACAAATTATGTAAATTGAATTTTGAACTCCTCCTTGGATTCTAAGAGATAATTCAGGATAATCTCCCTATTTGCAGATCCTTAACTTGATCACATCGACAAAGCAATATTCCATGTATCATTCACAGGTTTCAGGAACTAGGACATGGACACCATGGGAAGGATATTATTCAGCCTACAACAATGCCCACAAGGGCAAATACACAAACACACACACACACACACACACACACACACACACACATACACACAGAGAGAGAGAGAGAGGAGAGAGAGAGAGAAAGAGAGAGAGAGAGGAGAGAGAGGAGAGAGAGAGAGGAGAGAGAGAGAAAGAGAGAGAGAGAGGAGAGAGAGGAGAGAGAGAGAGAGAGAAAGCGAGAGAGAGATGACTTCCTATATGAGAGAAAAGCAGAGAAAGAGAAAGACGCTCAATTATGCAACAAGACAGAACCATACAAAAATGGGAGAGTTTGCAAGCCACTTATGAATCAAGGTATACAGTATTGTACCATAATTCACAAATAAATACAAAGGTTAACTCAGCTAATATATTGAGGCTGGCATAAGAAAAGCTAGTTCTGGTAACAAAAATATTCCAAAAATATTCCTTCTTCTCTAAGGTTGTTGTGTAAACCTATCAGATTAGTAAAGAACAGAAGAATATGTATGTTTCTAAATGTTTCAAGGATTAATAGAACAATAACAAAAAGAAAGTGTACGTGTTTAAGAATCACAGAACCACATAAAGAAAAAGTGAAAAGAGAACAAAACAGGTAAAATAGTGGATGAAAAGTATGGATATATTGACTAAAGTAAAAAATTGAGTAAGCTACCAGAGGTTAATCATGAGCCTCAAACTATTTTTATTGTATAAATTAATGATGTAGAACATGATGTCTCGATATACATATATATAGGAAAGTGATTACTACAATAAAACCAATTAACATTTCCCTCATCTCACAGTCAACTGTGTGTGTGTATGTGCGTGTGTGTGCTAAGACCACCTAAAATGTATTCTCTTAGCTAATTTCCATTACACCATACAATATCATTAACTATAGTCCTCATGTTGTACATTAGGTATCTATATGTATTCATCCTCCATAATTATAATGCTGAGTTTATTATATTTTAAGGTTAGTCACCAGGGAAGTCTCATTCCAAATGAGTTTCCTGAGGTCCAAAAAGTACCTTGATTGATAGTTTCTGCCAGTCAATATTCTTCCAAAATAAACCCCTTCAGTAAGATGTTTAATTTGGGAAGGGGGAACTAAACCAAAATTGTATCTTAAATCCTCTGGCTCCCAAATTCTGCCGTTAATAAATAAACAATTATCAAGTTTAAAAAAAAAAACATGGACACGGTGGGGGGCATCACACACTGGGGGCTGTTGGGGGGTGGGGGGCTGCGGGAGGGATAGAATTAGGAGAAATACCTAATGTAGATGACAGGTCGATGGGTGCAGCAAGCCACCATGGCACATGTATACTTATGTAGCAAATCTGTATGTTCTGCACATGTACCCCGGAACTTAAAGTATAATAAAAAACAACAATAACAACAACAACAACAGGCCAAGCGCGGTGGTTCACGCCTGTATTCCCTGCACTTTGGGAGGCTGAGGTGGGTGGTTCACCTGACGTCAGGAGTTTGAGACCAGCCTGGCCAACATGGTGAAACCCCATCTCTACTAAAAATACAAAAAATTAGCCAGACATGATGGCAGACACCTGTAATCCCAGATACTCAGGAGGCTGAGGAAGGAGAATCGCTGGAACCCAGGGAGGCAGAGGTTGCAGTGAGTGGAGATCGCACCACTGCACTCCAGCCTGGGTGACAGAGTGAGACTCTGTCTCAAAAAAAAAAAAATGGCAATGGCAAAAATATAATAAACCATTATAATTATATAGGGGCTCATCTCACCAAAACTCTTATATCTAATTTGATTCCACCACAGTTTTACACTTTCCCTTTTAGCATTTTCAAATTCTCTTGTATTGCATGTAAGACCATCCAATAGCATCTACCCAAAAGAAAAAGCCAATTGGTCTTGTTATCCACATGACCACCTTGAGAGCACATTGCAGCTTAGAGAGCACATGGTATTGTGTTACTTATGGCATCAATAACAATGTCTAACTCACACAAGGTTTAATCTTAGTCATCTTTTATCATCATGGATGTTCCCTGGGCTCTTTCTAATCTGATCATATTGAAATGTGCTGTCCTGATATTTTATGAACTAGGGCAAAGTCACCCTTACTCACCATCCGAAGTCTCAGATGGTCCTTCTTACCCAGTAATAAAAATGAAAATTATTTTCCTTGGCAACTCAGGCAGTATTCTGGTTAATTATGTGGATGTAATTCTTAGATTATTTGCATATTTTATAGCTGGTAATACCTTTACTTTACTGCCAGCTCTTTAACATACTATTTTATATTTACTTTATGTTATTTTGTCACATTTTAAGAACTTACTCAATTCATCTGAAATTCTTTCTGTTACAAATGTGGATCTAAAGGGAAGAGGTAACTTTCACGCAAGTAGAGAGTTTATTTGAGCCAAGCTTAAGGATTGCAACTGAAGAGCATAGATTCAAGTTGCCCTAAATATATATTCTGATTAGGAGCAATTACAAGTAGGATTTTAAAGAAGAAGAAGAGGTAGTTTCTAAGTTCTTTGCCATGAATTTACATTAAAATAACATAAATTATTGATTGGCTATACATTTTTATTTGTATCAGAAAGCTAAGGAACATAAAGATAATGAGTAAGGCAGCTATTCAGGAACAAAATACCTTTAAACAATTGTGGGCCGGGCGCGGTGGCTCACACCTGTAATCCCACCACTTTCGGAGGCCTAGGAGGGTGGATCAGAGGTGAGGAGTTAGAGACCAGCCTGACCAACATGGTGAAACCTCATCTCTACTAAAAATATAACAATTAGCCTGACGTGGTGGCACATGCTTGTAATCCCAGCTACTCAGGAGGCTGAGGGCAGGATAATCGCTTGAACCTGGGAGGCAGAAGTTTTAGTGAGCTGAGATCACGCCATTGCACTCCAGTCTGGGTGACAGAGAGAGACTCCATCTCAAAAAAAAAAAAAAAAAAAAAATTGCCTCTGGGCATGGGTACATGGTTGTGGTGTGGTGGTCTAGGGAAGTTCGTGACTGAAGTCTGATACTTATGTCTCTCTGGGCCTGATAAATTTTGCATACCTCACACAGCTCAGACTGCTCTAAGCTATTTTTCTCTTCTCGCAAGGCAGATTCTACATACATTTAAAGAACATGTTTACATTTTTAAATTAATTTTTACAATATTTATAAGTGGTAACTATATATCAAAATATGATGTGTCCCCAAAACTATTATGATCATGCAGTGCCAGCTTATAAAATGGAAGCTAAAAATAATAAATACACATATAATTGAATTAGTTATCTTTTGAAATATTTCTAAAATGGCTTCCACACTACGCTCGATTTAGAAGTAGATATACAAACCCTGACCAAAAAAGGGTCTCATTCAGAATACATTACTTGCAAAAAGATTATACATTACGATTAACAAAAATATACTAGATAAAATGAGTTTTCAGTAGATATGTTATAAAATTGAATATAAACATATTGAGTACATATTTTGCAAGATGTTACCATCAGGAGAAACCAAAGAAAGCATCCATGGAATCTTCTATTATTTCTCACAACTTAATGTGACTTTACAATTATCTCAAAATGAAAGCATTAGTTAAAATGTTAGATAACTCTCGAAAAATGATAATTAAAAAGTAAATATACCCTTTTGGCTTTCTTTTAAAATTTTCTAAATGTATTCATTCATTATTCATTTGTTCATATAGTTTTTTATTTGTTTTCTTGTCACTTAATTACTTATCAATTTCAAAAGATATTTTGTGATATATTTCACTTACTGTACTTTATTGCTGCAAATATTCCAAACTGATAATAATAAGGAACTTAGATAGTCTCTTATCTGTACATAAGTTAGACAGTTAAAAAGTTAAAAGAAAAAAGTTGCTATTTGTTTCTTTGTAAATCAGTAGCTTTCTGTTCCCTACCAAACACTAATCCATCTTTTTTTCATTAATATATTTGACAAATATTTATTAAGCAGCTATCTGCAGATTCCTGCTGTTCCAAGCATTGAGAATTCTGGTGAAAATATAGTTTCTTCTCTTTACATCAGATGTATGGACATGAATTGGAGAGTTCCACACATAAACAAGTAGAAAAATATAACAAGAATATATTTTCAAATGCCTCAGAGATGGCTTCTACTTTCCCCTTCAAGCTTTTCCCCTTTGTGTATTCCATCTCTTAGGACAATGTTTAACAGCACGCTTGTTATTGTGGGATTGAAAGTTCTCTGTTTTGGGGAGTTGTGAAGTGCACGTTATCAGCATCCTAGGCCACTACATCCCATCCACTACTTGCCAGTAGCATTCACTTCTCAGGTGGTGAAAACAAAACAGTTTGCAGACATTACTCCCCTTGGTGGAGAAGGGTAGAATTGTGGTTGTATATCACTGCCCTAAAGACTTCTGAAGTTTTTGCCCCAAGGGATTCACATAAATGCCCCAAGGACCTCAGAGTGGGTATTAAACTTTTTTATCAAGATGATAAATTCTGAAGGTAGACTTTGAGAAGAGAGAAAGTGCCATGTTTTTCTAAATTTTTAGACTAAAGTCAAATGAGGAAAAAAAAGGCATAAAATAAAGTCAAAGAAGGGATATGAAACTTTAAAATACTTCTGACTCTAATTCTGAGGAGATGAATGCCTTCTGGAGATTTTTTGAGTAGAAGACTAATATTATATGAATTTAGGGTGACCAACTTATTCTGGTTTGCCTGGGACTTTCCCAGTCTTTGTTCTAAAAGTCTCATTTCTTGTGAAAGCTCTTAGCTTAAGTAAACCAGGGTTATTGATCACACTATATAAATTTTATTTTAAAATGATTAATCTGTGGATAAAGAAAATGTGATATATATACACAGTGGAACACTAGGCAGCCATTAAAAGGAACAAAACAATATCTTTTGCAGCAACTGGGATGGAACTGGTGGCCATTATGCTAAGTGGAGTAACACAGAAGTGGAAAACCAAAAACCGTATGTTCTCACTTAGAAACGGAAGGAAGTTATGAGTATGCAAAGGCATGCAGAGCGATATAATGAATTTTGGAGACTCAGAAGGGAGGGGCCCAGGGATAAAAATCTACGCATTAGGTACAATGCACACCACTCCAGTGACAGGTACACTATAATCTCAGATTTTACCAATATATAATTTGCCCATGTAACAAAAAACCACTTGTACCCCAAAAGCTATTGAAATAAAAAAAAGAAAAAAGCTCACTCTGTTTAAGAATGTATGGTAGGGCTAGGGTTGACGGCAGAAAGTGGAAAGTATTAGAAGACAATGGTAATAATCTATTTAAGAGATGACGGTGGCTTTTCCAGGTGATGTTCTGTTCCATTTGGGGCATATGGAGCTTGAGATGTGTGTTATATATTCGACTTGAAGTGTCAATCGACATTCTGTACAAATCTGAAGCTAAGGAACCCGGATGTAACTTTGGGAGTAGTCAGGGTTTTTAAAAACCATGATGTTTAGGTTGAATTGAGTACCGTCAAATTCATACATCAAAGTCTCAACCACCAGTACCTCAGAATGTAAGTATATTTGGAGATAAGCTCTTTGAAGAGGTAATTCAGTTAAAAATGGGGCTTTTAGGGTGGAGCCCTAATCCAGTATGGGTGATGTCCTTATTAGAAGCGGAAGAGACATTCGGGTTGCACGCACACAGAGAAAAAAGCCATGCTTGGACACAGCAGGAAGGCAACCAACTTCTCAGAAGAAACTGAACCTGCTGCCGTCTTGATTTGGGTTCCCAAAACTGTGAGAAAATACATTTCTGTTATTGAAGTCACTGAAGCTGTGTTGTGTTATTATGGAAGTTCTAAAATGTGAATATACATGGTTTTAGATGGTATGCCACGTAAGGTGAGCTCGTAAATGCAGGACGCTGAGTGAAGGGCGCTACACAAGGTAAAGGCTGGGAAGAAGAACCAACGTTTGTCAGAAGGATTGTAAAGTTACAAGCTGATGCAATGCAATAGAAATCCCGAAAACATACAAACCAAAAAAGGAATGAGGAAAGATCATAAAGATAAGAGGAATTCAAGGTCATTAGGGTTAGAATAGGTTATTATTTTTTTTTAATGTAAGAAGAAAGATAATATTTTTAAAACATGTTTGAGTCCTCAAGTGGATAAAAGCAGAAAAGCAGAGGTCCCTGGGTTGGTCTTTTTTTTTTTTTTTTTTTTTTTTTTTTTTGAGATGGAGTATCCCTCTGTCACCCAGGCTGGAGTGCAGTGGCGCGATCTAGGCTCACTGCAAGCTCCGCCTCCCAGGTTCATGCCATTCTCCTGCCTCCTGCCTCAGTAGCCAGGACTACAGGCGCCTGCCACCGTGCCTGCCTGGCTTTTTTTTTTTTTTTTTTTTTTTTAGTAGAGACGGGGTTTCACCGTGTTAGCCGGGATGGTCTCGATCTCCTGACCTTGTGATCTGCCCGCCTCGGCCTCGCAAAGTGCTGGGATTACTGGCGTGAGCCACCGCGCCCGGCCTGGGCTGTTTGTTCTTTTACACAAGAGAAAAGATCATTTATCCTTTTTTCACAGTAAACAACAACAACAGCAAAAACCCTGGAGTCCATGCAGATAGCTTACTAGATTTTGTGACGATGAGTTTATTTTTATATGAAGGTGTCTATTCATTTCTATAAATAAGAAACGAGAGGAAGAAGGTTGATGGAGCTTATATAGATTGGAAGTGAAGAAACATAGTATTACCTCTGAGAGTTGGAAAGTGAACTTATTAAGAAAATGTAGGAGAATGAAAAGTCCTATGTGTGCTTGTGAGGCATTTACTCATAAAATTAAGATGAGATTCATCAGAAAGGTGAAGGTCTAGAAAAGACATATGTATTAAAATGATGGATTAGAAATGTAGACTGGATTCTATCCTAGCTACAAAAAAAATGTATTTTTTAGAGTTTTAGGGAAAGTTTGGGACAATAATTTTTGGGCTTTAGGGGGACAACTTGGAAATATATTATGGATGAAGGTTTCAAGATGGAAGAGGAACAGGAGAGTAATAAAAGATGGCTTTTAGATTTTGTGATTGAGGAATTAGTGGCTGCATTGCCAGACACCTTTCGCAAACTCTGTGAAGGAGGTTTTGAAATGGAAATTAGGAGTTTCATTTTTTTTTTAATTCTTTTGCAGACTGCTAATACCTGTCTTACTCTATAATGTCAGGGTTTAAATAGGAACAAGATCAGCCAGCTAACGGGAACGTTTCTTAGCCTCTCTTCTAAGTAGGAATAAAAAAGTAACAGAGTCCTGACAAGAGAATGTGACAGGGGCTGCCTCTAGATCTTGTTCTTAAAGAATTGGGTTCCTCAGATGGGCAGGTGAATACCTACCAGTGCATGAGCCAGAAACGAATGACATGAATTAAGGATGCCAAAACTATTAAACTATCTCCAATACATACTAATCTAAGACTAAAAAAAAGAGAATGCTAAGAGTTTTTTTTTTTTTGGTTTTGTATTATGCTATTAAATAGCTCATAAACTCATTGATAAAAGCTTTAGATACAGAGAACAACCCATTTCCAAATAAGTCCCCCCACCAACACACATGCACACATCACAAAATATGTTAAAAATAAAAAGTTTGTAGAAGACTGCCTTTGCATTCTTCATATTCTACTAGTTATCACACAATCACTCAGTTCCATATAATGCCAATATTATTTTATTTTGTTCCCTTAGGCCCAAATAATGCTTACCTTGCATTCACAGAGAATTTTACTGTAAAATTAAAATATTGTCTGATTCCTCAAAAACAACCAAATACATGATGTGATTGATTTTTATTAGTTACTTTTGAAACCAGGGGTCTAATCTGTAAATATACCTCATGTTTTGAGATTCCAAAATTGTATCTATACCCATAATACCCTATGATTCTAACCCTAATTGTTTAATGTTTATGTTGTTATTTTTACATAATAAAAACAAAATAATAAAGAAGGATACAGTTCATCATCTCGATATGTAAAAGGTCTATAATGAGGTTATTTAATACTATAATGATATATATTTATATTCAAGTAGGAAAAAAGACATGTCAGATGAACAGTTCCAGAAACTAGGAATGGGTTACATAATTTATTATTTTTCCCTCTGCTCTAGGATGTGTGTTTTGGCTTTACTCTAAGATCATGGTATCATAACATTTCATGTGTCCAGATATCAGGAGGAATATTGCTACTCTACTAGATGAGAAATGTACCACTTTAAAGACATTAGTGGACTATTTCACTAGATAGATTAACTATTAAAAGTAAGCCTAGCCTGTAATCCTAGCACTTTGGGAGACCGAGGTGGGCAGATCACCCGAGCTCAGGAGTTCGAGACCAGCCTGGCCAACACGGTGAAACCCCGTCTCTACTAAAAATACAGAAATTATTCAGGTGTACTGGCGGGCGCCTGTAATCCTAGCTACTCGGGAGGCTGACACAGGAGAATGGCTTGAACCTGGGAGGCGGAGATTGCAGTGGGCCAAGATTGCACCATTGTAATCCAGCCTAGGCTACAGAGTGAGTCTCTGTCTCAAAAAAAAAATAAAAAAATTAAGCCTAAAATATTTTATTACAGATATTATTTGTACCTTCTAATTGAAAGAAAACATATTCACAAATATATATTATGCACATATAAACACTCATATATATACATATATAACATGTATACATAAATTTACACACACATATGTATTTAAAGAGATTATAAGACAACCAACCATGAATACAGAGAAAGACAAAGTGATAGAATGTCATATACTAGTAGTTTTTGTTAATTTGATTGTAAACTGAATACGCAGTTCCTGTAACTGTGGTTGTTTTCACTTAAAAGGGGTATAAAATGACAAGTTCTATATACATATTTTAAAAAATACCTACTTTTACCTGCAAGTGAAATTCAAAGCATAATATCCAATTGCACAATAAATACTTCTTGCTCATGTCATAAATGGCACTAATAATAGCATTTATAATAAAAATTAGTAATGCAATAATTTGTCTTGATGCCAAGTGACATGAAGTTAAATTTTGTTTTTAAGCAAAGAGAGTACTTAAGGCAACTGTGAATTGGCATCAGTGTGTTGACAGACAGCAAGATTCACTTGCAATCTGTATTTTTGGCCTAAAACTACAATTCAGTGTTTAGATAATAAGTCCCATAATCATCCAGGCAACTAAGGCAAATAATACATTTTCTGAACCTGTCCTCACAAGTTTTTCTTTCTTCCATCTTAATTTACAAATTCCTGAACACTTAATGGGGAAGAATCATTTGAGTTGCTTTGAGGAAATGAAAGAACTGAAATAGCCTTTATTTTGAAAACAATCAGTAGAGTAACTTCGATGTGCCAAGTGGAGTGTCAAATCAAATCACTTTAGAAAGCGGTCCTCATGTGTTTAAGTTTCATTAGCCAGTGGGAAGAAATGAATTCTTGTTACTATCTACAGCTTTGTTGCTGGTATATTAGAATCTACAGAGACATCACATGGCACCAATAAACCTGGCCAATTTGCCTTTTTTGGGCTGCCTCTGATATCATCAGCTCCTGACTTTTTGCTTCCTGCAAAGATTAGCATGTTACCTTGATGATATACTATTCAGGAACATATGTGCACTGTTGCAATCAAACTGTCAGCTCGGAATCAAAGTTCATTTCCCTCATGTGAAATGTGCAGGGGGAGGCTCCTTTTCCCTATATGAGTATCATTTATCAAAGTTCCATTTGAAGATTGCATGGCCTCAAAAGTATTATAATTTTGTTCCCCAAAGAATGCTCACAAAAGTTTAATGCATCTGGAATTGAGGCAATCCAAGTAACAGGAATCAAGCTGTACCTGAAGCCATTGCCTTCTCAGCCCTCAGGCACTAAGGGGAGATTTTCTTCCAGGGGCCCTGTGGTGCCAGCCTTGCAATTTGCCTTTAGAAAGAGTCTCTTTCAATTTGTCCTCTTCATCCAAACATGACATGCTTGTATATGTACATGTGCATGTGTGTGAACATATTTGTCAAATGTTGAGACTATTTTAATCATTTACATATTGTGATCATCAGGCTTGTGTAACCCGATCATTAAAATATGCCTGTCTGGTAGGGGAAAAAAAAACAGTTAATGGCTTTGCTCATCTAATGTATGTGTCAATGTCTCTGTTTTGGGACAAAAAAATGATTTAAAATGTTAAAGGGCCTGGAAAAAAGCATAAGATTGTTTATGGCAATCTTATGTAATATGACTTTACATAACCTTAGTTTTCAAGGGCAAGCTGAAATTTCATATCACAGCCAATCTGTGTTATGTGACAACAACCACCACAGAAAAATCAGAGCTACTTAGATTTTTAGATTTAAAGCAAATCAAGAAATATTTTAGAGATGTTAATTCAGCACTGTGAGTTAGAGAAAGGATAAGTAATATAGATGGGTGCTCCAGTTATATGAATTAGAACAGAAATAGAATCATTGGCGATACTCTAATAACAGGAGAGAAGAATAGAGTGCAGCAGAAGCAAAGGGTTAACTTGAAAGCTGGGATGTCAACCTTTCTTATTCCCTTTTTAGAAAGAAAATGACAGAACTCAGCAAATACTTCAAGACCAACATCCTATGTGGGAAGAAAAGGAATAAAAGGCAACGCAGTTTACACAGATGCTAGCAGCACAGTACGGAAATTTAGGGTTTGTCTATGTGGAAAGGCAAACTTCTTTGCTTCTAAGAATATAGTTTCTCTCTCACAGGGCCCCATTACTCAGCAGCATAGTAACTGACAGTACAATGATAAAAAGTAAGAATTAGATAAAATCAGGAGGTTCATCATGCAAATGGAAATCAATAGAAACATTATATTGTGATTAGACTAATAACATATTTTTCAAACATATGGGCAAATTATATTTATAAATTCTTTAGTAACATTTTTCTTTCATATTTGTTTATTACAGGGGTATATGAACTAGATGAAAAAATATCACCCTTTCCATTGGGATCATTTCAGGGTTCCTTTAGAGTGAGTGATGGAAGTGGGAAGAGGGAGGGGGAGTGAGAGAAAGAAGAAAAGGGGAAGGAAGAGGAGGGAGAGAGGAAGAGAGAGAGAGGAGAAGGAAGAATAAAAGGAAGAGAAACAGAGGAAGAGGAAGAAGGATAAAAAGGGGAAGAGACGGGAGCAGGAGAAGGGAGATGGAGACTAACTGACACTTGCATCTATTGAGCAGTAGGGGGATATCTGGGAGACCACATTCTCAAGCCTTGAGCCTGAAACTAATGAAACTCTTCCAGAACTAAACCCACTTAGGTCCTCCCTTATTCTGACACAGAATGAGGGTTTGAGATTTGTTCCCCATCACCAGTTTTTGACTTGTGTCCTGAGAAGGTGGAAAAATCAGAAAACTAGAGAGTAGGACAAACAGAATTAGCCAATGCCTGAGAAGGAAGCAGAAAACAAAATGTTAAAAGTGAAGGAATTAAGTATAGGTGACTTGATGTTTCACATAGGGGAGAGTTTAAAATTAATATGTCTTATTGAACTAATTAAAAGTTGTTACCACAACTCAAAGTCACTCTGATTTTCTTGGGTGATAAAATTGTAAATGGATTATTTGATTCATGCAGGAGAATTTTTTGATATATAAATTCATTATTTGAAAATTTGAATGGCTTTTCTCTATTTCATGTCACATTGATAAAGCATGTTATAAAATAAAGGTCTCAGATTTTTATTTTTCAAGTAAAATAAAAATATGTAGGATATTTTTCAAGCAGAGCATGCATGCATATGTGGAATACAAATAAACAAGTGAACAAGCAAAATCCCAGGAATTAAACCAACATTTATTTACTGACTATAGATGTCTTTAGTATTTAACTTCATATCAGAAAGAGACTTGAGATTAAACATTTCACATGAGATCGTTTGCTTTTCTCTCAGTATGATTTAGCCTAGGCTAAATTGTACAGTGATGACTATCAAATCCAACATTCTCTGAGGCTCTTAAAAAACAAAGGTTTAGTTTTTACTTATAGTACTTATTTGTCACTATCTTCACTGTGAGCTCCAGGCTAGTGGAAAGGGAGCTCTATCTAAATCATCAGTTTTCTATAATTCCTGAAGTGGGGGTCAGAACATATTTTGAATAATAACAATGCAGTGTATCACAGTTCAACTATATTATGAGAGGGCAAGGTAATTATTCCAAATAGTCCTATGTTGCTCTATGATAACTTGCACAAAATAAACAGTGAATAGGCATTTTTTGACTAAAGGTTCAGATCAAAATAATTATCATTCTGTGAAACTTTCGTTTTAGTAAAAGGGTTGCACAACTGATAGGGGACAGGAAGGAAATTATTGTTTTTCAAAAAAATAAATTTAATACCAAAGGCTATAAATCATGCTGCTATAAAGACACATGCACACGTTGTTTATTGCGGCATTTTTCACAATAGCAAAGACTTGGAACCAACCCAAATGTCCAACAATGATAGACTGGATTAAGAAAATGTGGCACATATACACCATGGAATACTATGCAGCCATAAAAAATGATGAGTTCACGTCCTTTGTAGGGACATGGATGAAATTGGAAATCATCATTCTCAGTAAACTATCGCAAGAACAAAAAACCAAACACCGCATATTCTCACTCATAGGTGGGAATTGAACAATGAGATCACATGGACACAGGAAGGGGAATATCACACTCTGGGGACTGTTGTGGGGTGGGGGGAGGGGGGAGGGATAGCATTGGGAGATATACCTAATGCTAGATGACGAGTTAGTGGGTGCAGCGCACCAGCACGGCACATGTATACATATGTAACTAACCTGCACAATGTGCACATGTACCCTAAAACTTAAAGTATAATAAAAAAAATAAATTAAAAAAAAGAAAGGCATCACTATACTTTTGCATTTTTACATTTAAGTAGCTTTTTTTAGACTATAGATGGAATTAAAATTTTTATTTTTATGTACTTATTTTGTAATATCTTAGTGCAGACCTTTTATTCAGATACCCCTCCAACTCCAGAATAGCAAGCAGCAACGTATTATTAAAGAAATTATTGGTTAAGTCCAGAATATAAATTACTTATTATTATGATTAGGAGAGAGGTAATTTATGAGAGTAAAATTTCAGACCAAAATCTGTGTCTCTAATCTTGATAGAACAATTGACTATTTTTACAATAAGCAAATTCGATATCTATTTCATAAATAGCAAATTCGTTATCTATTTCATAAATAGCAAATAAATGGACAACCTCAGAATATCATTTTAATGAGTGCGACTTTCCTGACTGTAACCACACATTCAGTATTCACTGAAGCTTCCTGTGTAGGATGAGAGTCAGGAAAACTTAAAAAGCACTTAAAAACCATAGCAGACAATGGAAAGTATAAAGGCCATTTAGGTTTCAGAAAGAGAAGCATAACAATATGCCTTCAAAAGATTCTCAAAAGGCACCAGCTTAGGATTCCGCTCATGGAGTTAAGGCCAAGCATTAAAAAGTAAATGTATCAGAAGCAGCAGAAAAGTCATCCCTTTAAGAAAATCTGAAGGTTTCATAAATATATTTCAGCTTTATTTAAAAAAAAAAAACATGGTAATCTGCTTTGATTTAATGTTATTCACAAGAGCAAGAAAAAATTCTCTTGTGAAGGTTAGGACTCCAGAAATACTTTATATCATTATTTTCTCTGCTCATTTGGCTTCAGTGCCAAATACCCAGTAGAAACTCAATAAATTTAAATTGATGATGATGATGACGATGATGATCATGATGATAACTGCTCTGAGACACTCATACACATACACGGAGGTTGAAAAATCAGTTATTAGGTCCATGTGCACTTTAACTTTGAATCTGTCTTTCTAAATAATTTGAAATCAGATTTATTTTCTTTTGTGTCTGCTATATTTTGATGAGAAGTGAAGAAATTGCAGGCACAGACTTTTTATTGATGAAGAATTTATTTATTAGGCTCATTCACTGGGCAGGTGAGTGAGCTATCTTTTTTGATCTCGCCCACTGAATTCTGGGGCAATGAGCCCTTGTACAACTGCAAACTCAATTACAGCCTGAATTAATATTTTACACATTAAATTTCATAAGTTATACTTGGTTGAACAGAGTAACTGAATTAAAATATGATTTATAATTAAATCCTTATCAATCACCCTAAAAGTGCAACCAATCTGTATATTTGGCTCCCAGTTCTCATTTAAAATTGTGAAATGACTTGTCAGGTAATAAGAGTAATCAGTTTTAGGCAAGAGAAAATTGCTTGCTGTAATACAGTCCCATTTGTAATTGATCAGCAATGGCACAATGATTTATCATTCATGAGATGTATACCACATCAGAAAGCTTAACTTACACAGTGAAGCATTCAGTCTCAAATGTGAAAATATTTTACAACCGGGACAGGTCTATACTCTGTATGTTTCATGTTTTCTACCTCTTAGAAAATTTGACTGGATTGACTTCCTGTTATATATAATTCATAGTATTACAATTAAAATTTATATTAGATAAAAACATATGTGCAGCTTTATTGTTGCTCTTATAAAAATACTTTCAAACCATTAATAATGTGAAATGTGTCAACACTGGCTACATTGGAGAAGGATTACTTTTATACATTTACTTTTTATTAACAGAAAAATGCAGTTAATTTTATCTATTTGTCTCTGACTATGAAATACTCATGAGTTATCAGAATTTCTAATAGAAGATTATATATTTTATGTTTATTGGCATAAATTGTTTAATATCACACATGGAAAATAATGACGTAAAGGCTCAAATTTGAAATGGGCTTCTATATGAAGAATCAAGAAACATATCGCCACATGACTAGTGCTCTGTAAGTACAAGGCCCAGGGAAGACAGAAAATGAGAGAATGGTGAAACATGATTAAGAGAAGGAGACAGAGAGTTGTATCACAATAAACACAAGACTGAGTGTTGGTACATTTTCAGGTTTTTTGTTTGCTTTGCTTTAAGTTATAGAAAGAAGAGGGAGAAGGAACATGTTATACATCACAAGCTAGAGTTATATCCTAGAGCACTGGTTTAGGTTTAGTGAAATTACTTGTGCTCTTGAATCCTTCATTTCTTCATCTGTAAATCTGAATAATAGTAATTGACTTGCCCAAAAGTCTTGAGGCCCATCAAAATAGTAAATGTGAAAGAAATTATCTTAATAATTTAGCTCCATTGGAACATGTTATTATTGTAACTTTATATATTAAATGTTTTTTGTTTGTTAAGTTTTGCATAGGCATACAACACATTTATTTCTTCAGCACAATGAACAAAATTCACAATGATTAGATGACTTCAGTGATGACAAGTCTTGCAATGATGATATTATAACAAAGCAATTTTATTTAAACTGTAGGTCATAAAGATTCAATGGGGCAATTTTTACTAAAATTACTAGTAAATAGGAAGTTAGGAATGATTTCAGTTAATCTTTTCATTTTAAGGTTATGGAATTTTTATCTTATTGGTAAATCAGCACATATATTTATGTATAAATCATTATCATTTTTTATTCATGAGAAAAAGCTACCTAGCTTTATATATCTATATGTAATAGTTAAAATATCCTTGTTTTTACTACTTTATTTAGGAGGTGACCGTGTTAACCCTCTTAAGTTAGATTGCAACATATAGAATTCTGTAAGTCAGATTTTGAAAAGTTACTAAGTTATCATGGTTGTAGATTACCTTACTGAGTGTATCTCAAGTTCTAAAATTTAAAAAAGAGTACATATGAGAAAACTTTAAACTTTTTATTACAATAAATAACCAAATATTTTATTATTTTATAAAATATATTTAGATATTTTATCTGACCACTTAACTATAGGAAGCAGAAAAATGTATGTATTTATAATTATTTTCAGTTTAATGTGGCTTCAAAAATAAATAAAAGAATTTATACCTGATCACAATTATTGCAGTGGCCTCTTCTGTCTGATACGTTCTTTAAGAATAGAACACAGTAAGTTTCTTTATTCTAAATCTGAAACTGAGGTTTCCATCACGCTAATTTGTAATCAAATATAATAGTTCACAGGAAAATTAGAGGTCAGTTTATATTAAACAGCATAAACCCAAGCTGGCTAACTTAATAAAGCATGATGGGATGATCATTATCTAAGTGGGGGGCTGACTTAAAATACCCTATACCTATAGAATGCCATTCATTAAAAATTGACTCAAGATTTATACCTGTAGGTAATAATTCAATATCAGTGGAAATCAGGGCATGTGCCTCAGCAGCAGAAATTAACCTGCAAGAAAATGGTCGTGTTTTGGTGCTGGGTGGGAGACTTTTCTCTAATAAAGATCTGCGAGTATAACATTTGGTGAAATCCCCAAATTGTTCTTTTACTTATATACAAATGATGTTAAAATATAAATCATAACAAAAACAAGCTTCCTTTGATTACACTAAAATCTATATTCATTTTATGTGATATAATGAATACAAGTTATAGTACTAAACCTCAGAGCAAAAAGCCAGAAAATATATTAAAAAGCTCGCTCTTAGAGGAAAAGTCTAATCAGATACTACTTAGAAATCTCAATGACGAAGGCTTTACCATGTTGATTTCAAATAATACCACATGAAAAAAAGTATGTTGTATTCCGAAAGTAAATATATTTATGTGTTATATCACATTAACTATACAAAACAAATGGAAGGATCTAAATTTACAGTATCAGAGATCCACAGTTTAGAAAGTAGAACTTCATTCACCACTCTGAATCATTTCTTTGTGTAAGTAATGTAAAAACAAAGGTAATAACGGCCAGGCGCGGTGGCTCACACCTGTAATCCCAGCACTTTGGGAGGCCGAGGCGGGCGCATCACAAGGTCAGGAGATCGAGACCATCCTGGCTAACGCGGTGAAACCCCGTCTCTACTAAAAATACAAAAAAAATCTACTAAAAATACAAAAAATTAGCCGGGCGTGGTAGCGGTCATCTGTAGTCCCAGCTGCTCGGGAGGCTGAGGCGGGAGAATGGTGTGAACCCGGGAGGCGGAGCTTGCAGTGAGCTGAGATCACGCCACTGCACTCCAGCCTGGGCGACAGAGGGAGACTCCGTCTCAGAACAACAACAACAACAACAACAAAAGGTAATCACAAGTAATAAAGCTAATCAAAATAAATTCATTGGATTAATGAGTGAAAAAGTCATAGTGCATTTGATCCTAAAAGGAAATGGGCATAAATAAATCTAATTATAAGAGGTCAATATCATATATGTCACTGTGAAATATTGTATTATTCAAGATACTAAGTGCAGTTAAGAATAGCTTTTCCCCCGTTCTCACCTAATGTCAGTATTTGGAAACAAAGCAAAACAAAATTCATTCTCTCAATCAAGGATTTATCTATTTCAGCAGGACTGTAATTTCCCAGTTGGCTATTTTTTTTTTTTCTTTCTTTTTTTGAGACGGATTCTCCCTCTGTCGCCCAGGCTGGAGTGCAGTGGCGCGATCTCGGCTCACTGCAGGCTCCGCCCCCCGGGGTTCACGCCATTCTCCTGCCTCAGCCTCCCGAGTAGCTGGGACTACAGGCACCCGCAACCACGCCGGGCTAGTTTTTTGTATTTTTAGTAGAGACGGGGTTTCACCGTGTTAGTCGGGATGGTCTTGATCTCCTGACCTCGTGATCCGACCGCCTCGGCCTCCCAAAGTGCTGGGATTACAGGCGTGAGCCACCGCGCCCGGCCTCCAGGTTGGCTTTACATCTCATGAAACTACAAAGAACAACAGCGTTAACATTCTAGACATCTAACAACACATCACATCAAATATATGCTCAAAAGTATCCTAGACACACAGGAATGTAGAACAAGAAATAGACATTAGGAAGAAATGTTTCCTTTCACTTGTGAAAAATTGTACCTATAAAATCCTGTCAAATTCTGTGTCTATACTTGACAGTGAAAATGTACTGTATATCAAACCATTTTCACTGATAATGATCATATGAATGTGGCAAGGTTTAATACTTCAAAATATCCAAAAGGCAGTGTTGTATATGTTGTGTTTCACTTATTCCAGCTATATATATATTGTATGAAAGCCTGATTGTGAAAATATTTTTATCTATGCTAGACAGCAAAAGCATTTAGGCAAATTATATTGCTCAAGAAATCTTACAATCTTTTTCATTTTCTAATTAGTAGAGAAAAAATAATAAATTTGGGGGATTTTTTTTTATTCAGTGGCCATTTCGTTTCATAGTGCTTATTTCTCATTTGTTTGGAAGGACATAGTTCTTTTAAAGGGCACGAGGGTGCAGAAAAACTTTTTTCTGCTTGACGAGACATTTAATACAATACAAATGTCTAATTGGTGTCACACAAGGTCAGGTGGCTTTGTCCCCACACTCGAGGACTCCTGGGAAATGAAAGGTCAACATGTAATGTCTTCAGACTTACCAAGAAAGAATTTTATTTCTTCCCCAAAGACACAAAGTCATTTTTATTATAAAAAAATAAACAAAAATGTCATCAATTAAAATGGTAATTTTTTTCATAAATTGTCAGTATTTTATTATTTTGTATTAAAATGGCAGCTTACCATGAGAGCCACTGACCGGGAGATAAAATTTGTGCCTCTGTGTGTGTGTGTGTGTGTGTGTGTGTGTGTGTGTGTGTGTGCATCTGTGTGCACTAAACTGAAAGTGTTTTAATTATGACAATTGCATTTTGGCATCAATTTACATAAAATAAACTTGATGCCTTCTGCATATCTTAAGCTTCATCCACGTAAAATAATTTATTCTTTTGGAGGGTCATAGAGCGCTAGTCCTGGACAAAAAGAAATAAATAGACATTATTACTTTTACCTCTTACTACTCCATTACCTCCCAAGTTCTAAAAACCTGTAACTCTCTTTTCTGTCTTCTTCTTTTATCTTAAGTCATCTCCTGATAAAATACCCTGGACCACTTCCCTCTCTCTAGGTTACATGACATGCTTTAAATTTTTAAAAATCTTCGCTTAAACAAAATTACCTTGTCCTTTGATCTCCCCATGAGAGGTCTTAGTAGTAAGTTCTAATTTGATAAATAGATTCCAAAAATATGCTTATGTAATAAATGTAAATGTATCATAGTAGTTTATTATGTTAGCTGGCTGTATATCCATTCAAAAACAGATATATGTATTGGAATGATAAAGCGTGAGTGTGTAATCTAAGAATATTAGTCACAGTGGCTTAATTAATATTGTTTGGAAATGGAGGTTGGAGGCAAGGATTAGGCAGAAAAAAGAGAAAAAACTTCACTAGAGCTTCTATCTATAAATCCTCCTGGGCCACCAAATGTAGAGGCTCACACACCCTGTGTACTTTATAAACTTCTATTTGAAACTAAATGATTGTCTTGATCTTACTAAATCAGTTTTTTAAAAAAATATATGTTTAGGATTTTAATTCTACTACTGTTCATACATAGTTACTAGTTATTGTCAAATTGCTTCATTTAGCACTTATGATTTATGCTTTAAAATATTATTTGTTTAAGATATATCAGACATATAAAGGAGGTGCTTAGGTTGAAATTTGTTTATTTGTTCACCACATTCATTAAGAGATACTTCATGGATTTACAGTATGTGTCGTTCCAGAGAGCCATACATCTAGTTATTAATTATTGGGGAAACTTTAGTCTGTGATCCTCTGCTAAAAATAAAATGGAATATTGATATGTGGCAACAACTTCTAACATTTCTTCAGGCGGTATTTTTAAACACTAGGTGAGAGTTACTAAGAATCAGAAAAGTGGTTGAATAGCATAGAAGCAGATTGGAGAGCCATTTGTGCCATAAAACAACAGGATTTGGTGTCTCTAAAGATGTAAGAAGGAGAGAAATAGAAAAATTGATGAAGGCTTTGAATAGCTACATCTGGCAATAAAAGAAAGTGAAAAAATATAACAAGAGAGTAATAGGTTGTGGTGAGGGAAACAAAGAAGCTGTTGAAGTAGATTTGAGATCAGATCTGTCATGGGCTTTTAAGAAATCTATAGTCAGGTGTTGAGATGTAGGACTTTTTTGCATAGGGCATTTCCCAAGGAAGTTGGAAGAATAAGAAGCCACAAAGTATTGGAAAGGAATTTTGAGCCCACTAAAATTTAAATTCCACAGCAGGATGGTAGTAAAAAACAGAACAAACTTAGAATAAATCCTAGAAAGGCAAAATAAACAAGACAAGAGAAGAGAGAATTTAAAGAAAGAAGGATCTCAACACTGAGTAATTAATATATTACAGGCTCAGTGAATTAACATTCAATTAAGAATGATGAAATTGACCCTGATAAACAGTGCTATGGCATGGTCAAATGATATCATAAAAATTAATGCTAGAACATGGTTAAATAGAATGTAGGTTAAAGGCAAAACAAACTAAAACAAAACATTTTACCTGAGAGCAAATGTCAGACTTAAATAGGATTCACAGAGAAGCTGAAAAATTTTAATACCAGCAATAGAGAAACCTCCTTTAAAAAGCTGGATTGAGAAGGAAACAAGAAAGTAAAAAGCTACAATGCTTCTTGAGTCACACAATTATTCAATCTCCGACCACCCTGAGTGCCACTGTTTGTTTCTAACCACTAGAATATGGCAGGGTGGGTGGAGCAAGATGGAAGAATAGAAGCTTACATCATTTGTTCCCGCTGCCACTAGAACACCAAATTTTAACAACCATCTGCACACAGAAAAGCAGAATCATCAGAACCAAAAATCAGGTGAGCAATCATAGTACCTTGTTTTAGCTTCATATATTAAAAGAGTCATTGAAAAGAGTAAGACAGACAGTTAAGACTCACTGATGCCATGCCTCTCTCATCCCCCAGCAGCGGCCCTGATACATAGAGAATCTGTGCACTTTAGAGAGAGAGACTTTGTATTGAACTCAGCAGTGCCCTATCACAACAGAATAAATCCATGTTGTGCTCAGCCAGCGCCCACACATGGAGGGAGCATTTTTGACCAGCCCTAGCCAGAGAGGATTCATCCATTTTATCAGTGGGAACTTGAGGTTCTTGGCAGGCCCTGCCACTGTGGACTGAAGTGTTCTGGGCTCCTAGGTAAACTTGAAAGCCAGTCTAGGACACAAGGACTGCAATTCCTAGGCAACTCCAAGTGCTAGGCTGGGCTTAGAGCCAGTGGACTAGGGTGGCATGTGACCTATGGAGACACCAGCTGTGGGGCTAAAGGAGTGCTTGCATTATGCTTCTTCCAACCTCAGGCACTTCAGCTTGCATCAAAGAGACTGACTCCTTCTTTCTGCTTAAGGAGAGGAGAATGAAGGGTAAAGAGGACTTTGTTTTGCATCATGGATACCAGCTCAGCCACAGTAGGATAGGGCACCAGGCAGAGTAATGAGGCTACCATTCCAGTTTGTAGCTCCAGGATGACATTCCTAGACACAGCCTGTGTCAAAAGGGACCCCACTACCTTGAAAGGAAGGATCCAGTACTGGCAGGATATTACCTGCTGACTAAAGAACCCTTGGGCCCTGAATAACCAGCAGCAATACCTAGGGGATATGCCATGGTCCTTGGGCTATGAGATGCACTGGCTTCAGAGGTGACCCAGAACATTCCCAGCTGTGGAGGATATGGTGAAAGACTCCCTATATTAAAGAAAAGCAGGGGCCAAGCGTGGTGGCTCACACTTGTAATCCCAGCACTTTGGGAGGTCGAGGTGAGTGGATCACGAGGTCAAGAGATCAAGACAATCCTGGCTAACATGGTGAAATCCTGTCTCTAATAAAAATACAAAAATTAGCTAGGCATGGTGGTGCACATCTGCAGTCCCAGCTACTCGGGAGGCTGAGGCAGGAGAATTGCTTGAACCCTGGAGGTGGAGGTAGCAGTGAGCCGAGATCAGGCCACTGCACTCCAGCCTGACAACAGAGCGAGACTCCAAAAAAAAAAAAAAAAAAAAAGCAGACGGAAAAGTAAAGGGAACTTTGTCTTCCACTCTAGGTATCAGCTTGACTACTGTGGAGTAGAGCAATAAGCAGGCCCTAGAAGTCCTTGAGTCCAGGCATAGGCTCCTGGACAGCATTTCTGGACATACCATGGGCCAAAGGTGAGCACACTGCCCTAAAGTGTGAGTCCCAGGCTGGGCAGCATGCACCACAAGCTGATGGAACGGCCTTTGGGCTTCAGGTGAACATCAGCGGTAGCCTAGCAGAACTCCCCATGGGTTGTTGTTGGTGGTGGCCACAAGGAGAGGCTCCTCTGCCTGTGGAAAGGGGAAAAAATAACAAGACTGGCTTTGCATTGTGGTTTGAGTGCCAGATTAGCCCCAGTAAAATAGAATATCAGATAAATTGCTAAGTTGCTTTCTTTTTACTTTAATTCCTGGCTGCCAGATAGCATGGCTGGATATCCCTGGGTCCTGGGGGAGCTTGCCATTCTAAAGGAAAGGGCCTTAGGCAAGGCATAGTGCTGTGCTAGATTCAGGGCTGACTCAGCAGTCTCAGTGGTGGTAGCCACACGTGTGCTCGCATCACCACATCTCCAGTGCCAGGTGGTTCAGCACAGAAAGAGAGACTCCATATCTTTAAGAGCAAGGAAGATAAAAGAATTAGAGTCTCTGCCTGGTAATCCATGGAATGCTTCTAGATTATATCTAAGACCACCAAGGTGGTACCTCTACAAGTCTACAAAAACCACATCATTATTGGACTTTGAGCCTAAGTCTCTTTGAATACCTGGAAAGCCTTCCTAAGGAGGACAGGCACAAATAAGCCCAGGATGTAAAGACCAGATATTGATGAACATCTACAAGCATCAACACTATCCAGTAAAACATGACCTCACCAAATGAACTAAATAAGGCATCAGAGACCAAATACTGGAGAAACAGAGATATATAACATTTCAAACACAGAATTCACAATAGCTGTTTTGATGAAACTCAAATAAATTCAAGATAACACAGAGAAGTAATTCAGAATTCCATTAGATACATTTAACAAACATGTTGAAATAACCAAAAAAAAATCAAACAGAAATTCTGAAGTTCAAAAATGCAAGTGACACGCTGAAGAATGAATTGGAGTATTTTAACAGCAGAACTGATCAAGAAGAAATAATTAGTGAGCTTGGAGACAGGCTATTTGAAAATACACTATCAGAGGAGACAAAGAAAGAATAAAAAAATGAAGCTTGCCTACAGGATCTATAAAATAACTTCAAAAGGGCAAATCTAAGAATTACTGACCTTAAAAAGGAGATAGAGAAAAAGACAGGGTTAGAAAGTTTATTCAAAAGATAATAACGGAGAACTTTCCAAACCTAGAGAAAGATACCAATATCAAAGCACAAAAAGGTTACAGAACACCCAGCAGATGTACCCTAAATAAGGCTACCTCAAGGCATTTAATAATCAATTCCCAAAGGCCAGAGATGAAGAAAATATCCTAAAGTCAGCAAAAGAAAAAAAATAACATAAAATGGAGCTCCAGTACACCTAGGCAGCAGACTTTTTAGTGAAAACCCTACAGGCCAGGAGAAAGTGGCATGACATATTTAAAGTGCAGAAGAAATAATACTTTTACCCTAGAATAGTATGTTCAGCAAAAATATTCTTCAAAGATTAAAAAGCAATTGGAACAAAAGCCTAAATTGAGAAGTGAAATTTAATTAAACTGAAGAGCTTCTGCACAGCAAAAAGAACTAACATCAGAGTGAACAAGCCACCTACAGAATGGGAGAATATTTTTGCAATCTACCCATCTGATAAAGGTCTAATATCCATAATCTACACGGAACTTAAACATATTTAAAAGAATAAAACAAACAACCCCATCAAAAAGTGGGCAAAGGATATGGACAGGGACTTCGCAAAAGAAGACATTTATGCAGCCAAAAAACATATGAAAAAAAGCTCAACATCAATGATCATTAAAGAAATTCAAATCAAAACCATGATGAGATACCATCTCATACCACTCAGAATGGCGATTATTAAAAAATCAAGAAACAATAGATGCTGGTGAGGATGTGGAGAAATAGGAACGCTTTTACACTGTTGGTGGGAGTGTAAATTAGTTCAACCATTGTGGAAGACAGTTTGGTGATTCCTCAAGGATCTAGAACCAGAAATATCATTTGACCCAGCAATCTCATGACTGGCTATATACCCAAAGGATTATAAATCATTCTACTATAAAGACACATGCACACATATGTTTATTGCAGCACTATTTACAATAACAAATACATGGAACCCACCCAAATGCTCTTCAATGATAGGCTGGATAAAGAAAATGTGGTACACATACACCATGGAATACTATGCAGCCATGAAAAGGAATGTGATAATGTCCTTTGCAGGGACATGGATAAAGCTGGAAGCCATCATCCTCAGCAAACTAACACAGAAACAGAAACCAAAAACCGCATGTTTTCACTCATAAGTTGGAGTTGAATAATGATAACACATGGACACAACGAGGGTAACAACACACACTGGGGCCTCTCGGGGGGTAGGGGGCAATGGGAGGGAGAGCATTAGGACAAAGAGCTAATGCAAGTGAGGCTTAAAACCTAGATGATGGGTTGACAGGTGCAGCAAACTATCATGACACACATGTAACTATGTAACAAACCTGCACATTCTGCATGTGTATCCTGGAACTTAAAGTAAAATTGTTTAAAAAAGTCTCCCAGAAAAGAAAAGCCCAGGATCCGATGGCTTCACTGCTAAATTCTACCAAACATCTAAAAAAGAACTAGTAATACTTCTACTCTAACTGTTGTGAAAAATAGAGGAGGAGGGGACACTATCAAATGCATTCTAGAAGGTCAATGTTATACTGATCCCCAAACTAGAAAAAGACATTCAAGAAAACAAAACTAAAGGTCAGTATTTTTAACGAATATTGATACAAACATTCTTAACGATACACTAGCAAACTGAATTAAACAATACATTAAAAAGATTATGCATCATGAATAAGTTGGATTTATCCCAGGGATGCAAGAATGGTTCAACATACACAAATAAATCCATGTGGTACATCATATCAACAGAATGAAGCACAAAAACCACATGATAATTTCAATTGATGCTGAAAAAGAATTAAAGTTCAACATCCTGTAATGACAAAAACCCTTTAAAAATTGAGTATAGAAGGAACAGACCTCAACCTAATTAAAGCCATGTATAACGGACCACATGTAGTATCACATTGACTGGGTAAGAATTGAAAGTCTCTTCTCTTAGATCCGGAACATGACAAAGATCCCCACAGTCACCACTGTTATTTACTATAGTACTGGAAGTCTTAGCTGGAGCAATCAGACAAGAGAAAGAAATAAAGGGCATCCAAATTGGAAAGGAAGAAGTCAAATTATCTGTGTTTTAACAGTAAGCAATCTAAAAAAAAGAAATTTAAAAAGTAATCACACGTATGAAAGCCACAAATAAAATTAAATATTAAGTTAATTTGAAATTAACTTAATCAAAGAAGTGGAATATCTCTAGAGTGAAAAGTATACAATACTGATGAAAGAAATTGAAGAGAATAGAAAAAAAAAATGAAATTCCATGTTCATGGATTGGAAGAACCAATATTGTTACAATGTCCATACTACCCAAAGCAATCTACAGATTCAATGCAATCCCTATGAAAATACCAATGACATCCTTCATAGAAATAGAAAAAACAATCCTAAAACTTATAGGGAAATACAAAAGACCCAGAGTAACCAAAGCATCCTGAACAAAAAGAACACAACTGGAGGAATCACGTTACCTGACTTTGTACTACAGAGCTATAGTAATCAAAACAGCATGATACTGGCATAAAACCAGACACATAGACTAGAGAAACAGACTAGAGAACCCAGAAATAAATCCACAAATCTACAGTGAACTCATTTTCAACAAAGGTGACAAGAACATATATTGGGGAAAACACAGTCTCTTCAATAAATGGTGAGGGGAAAACTGGATATCCATATGCTGAAGAAAGAAACTAGACCCTTCTCTCACCATATACAAAAACAAGTCAAAATGTATTAAAGACTTAAATCTAAGGCCTCAAACTATAAAAATACTATAAGAAAACATGCAGAAACTCTCCACAGCATTTGTCTGGACAAAAATTTCTTGAGTAATACCCCATAACACAGGCAACCAAAGCAAAAATTGACAAATGGGGTTACATCAAGTTAAAAAGCTTCTGCATAGAAAAGGAAAAAAATCAACAAAGTGAAGAGACAACCCACAGAATGGGAGAAAAAATTTCAAAACTACTCATCTGACAAGAGATTAATAACGAGAATAAGGAGCTCAAACAACTCTATGTGAAAAAAAAATCTAATTATCTGATTTTTTAAATGGGTGATTTGGTTTGGCTATGTGCCCCCACCCAAATCTCATCTTGTAGCTCCCATAATTCCCACATGTTGTGGGAGGGACCCCGTGGGAGATGATTGAATCATGGGGGCAGGTCTTTCCCTTGCTGTTCTTGTGATAGTGAATGGGTCTCATGAGATCTGATGGTTTTAAAAATGGGTGGGTGGATCATGAGGTCAGGAGATCGAGACCATCCTGGCTAAGATTGTGAAACACCGTCTCTACTAAAAATACAAAGAATTGGCCAGACGTGGTGGCAGGCAACTGTAGTCCCAGCTACTCAGGAGACTGAGGCAGGAGAATGGCGTGAACCTGGGAGGCAGAGCTTGCAGTGAGCTGAGGTGGCAACACTGCACTCCAGGCTGGGTGACAGAGTAAGACTCCATCTCAAAAGAAAAAAAAAAACAAAAACAAAAACAAGGGGGAGTTTCCCTGCACAATCTCTTTTTGCCTGCTGCTATCCATGTAAAACGTGACTTGCTCCTTCTTGCCTTCCACCATGTTTGTGAGGCCTCCCCAGCCACATGGAACTGTGAGTCCAATTAAACTCCTTTCCTTTGTAAATTGTCCAGTCTTGGGTATGTCTTTATCAGCAGTGTGAAAATGGACTAACACAGTAAATTGTTAACAGTAGAGTGGGGCACCACTGAAAGATACCTGAAAATGTAGAGGCAAGCCACTTTGGAACTGGGTAACAGGC
The DNA here is from genome assembly GCF_000001405.40 of Homo sapiens. NCBI lineage: Eukaryota > Metazoa > Chordata > Mammalia > Primates > Hominidae > Homo > Homo sapiens. The sequence goes on from NC_000005.10 coordinate 22,335,896, forward strand.
AGAGGTTGGAACAGTTTGGAGGGCTCAGAAGAAGATAGGAAAATGTGGGAAAGTTTGGAACTTCTTAGAGACTTACTGAATGGCTTTGACCAAAAGCCTGACAGCAACATGGACAATAAGGTCCAAGCTGAGGTGGTTGCAGATGGAGATGAGGAACTTGTTCGGAACTGGAGCAAAGGTGACTCTTGTTATGTTTTAGCAAAGAGACTGGTGGCATTTTGCCCCTGTCCTAGAGATTTGTGAAACTTTGAACTTGAGAGAGATAATTTAGGATATCTGACTGATGAAATTCCTAAGCAGCAAATCATTCAAGAGGTGACTTGGGTGCTGTGAGAATCATTCAGTTTTAAAAGGGAAACAGAGTATAAAAGTTCAGAAAATTTTCAGCCAGACAATGTGATGGAAAAGAAAATCCCATTATCTGAAGAGAAATTCAAGAGGGCTGAAGAAATTTGCCTAAGTAAGGAGGAGCCAAATGTTAATCCCCAAGACAAGGGGGAAAATATCTCCAGGGCATGTTAGAGGTCTTCACAGCAGTCCCTTTCATCACAGTCCTGGAGGCCTAGGAAGAAAAAAAGGTTTCATGGGCCAGGCCCAGGGTCCTTGTGCTGTGTGCAATTTAGGGACTTGGTGCCTGGCTTCCCAACCACTCCAGCTGTGATCAAAAGTGGCCAAGGTACAGCTTGGGCCATGGCTTCAGAGGGTGCAAGCCACAAGCCTTAGCAGTTTCCACATGGTGTTGAGCCTGCCAGTGCACACAAGTCAAGAATTGGGGTTTGGGAACCTCTACCTAGATTTCAGAAATTGTATGGAATGGCCTAGATGCCCAGGCAGAAGTTTGCTGCAGGGGTGGGGCCCTCATGAAGAACCTCTGCTAGGGCAGTGTGGAAGGGAAATGTGAGGTCGGAGCCCCCACACAGAGTCCCTATTGGGGCACTGCCCAGTGGAGCTATGAGAAGAGAGCCACAACCCTCAAACCCCATAATGGTAGATCCATTGACAGCTTGCACCATCCACCTGGAAACACTGCAGATACTCAATGCCAGCTGTGAAAGCAGCTGGGAGGGAGGCTGTACCCTGCAAAGCCACAGGGTTGGAGCTACCCAAGACTATGGGAACCTACCTCTTGCATAAGTGTGACCTGAATGGGAGACACAGAGTCAAAGGAGATCATTTTGGAGCTTTAAGATTGACTGCCCTGCTGGCATTCAGACTTGCATGGGGCCTGTAGCCCCTTTGTTTTGGCCAATTTCTTCCATTTGGAATGGCTGTATTTACCCAATGCCAGTACCCCATTGTATCTAGGAAGTACCTATCTTGCTTTTGATTTTACAGGCTCATAGGCAGAAGGGACACGCCTTGTCTAGGATGAGACTTTGGAATATGGACTTTTGATTTAATGCTGAAATGAGTTGAGACTTTGGGGGACTATTAGGAAGGCATGATTGGTTTTGAAATGTGAGGACATTTGGGAGGTGCTGGGGTGGAATGATATGGTTTGGCCCTGTGTCTCCACCCAAATCTCATCTTATAGCTCCCGTAATTCCCACATGTTGTGGGAAGGACCTTGTGGGGGATGATTGAATCATGGGGGTAAGTGTTTCCCATGCTGGTCTCATGATAGTGAATGTGTCTCATGAGATCTTATGGTTTCAAAAATGAGAGTTTCCCTGCACAATCTCTATTTGCCTGCTGCTATCCATGTAAAACGTGACTTGCTCCTTCTTGCCTTCCACCATGATGGTGAGGCCTCCCCAGCCACATGGAACTGTAAGTCCAATTAAACCTTTCTCTTTTGCAAATTGCCCAGTCTTCATATGTCTTTAGCAGCAATGTGAGAATGGACTAATACAATGGACAAAATATTGGAATAGACATTTCTCAAAAGAACATATACAATTTGCAAACAGGTATATGAAAAGGTTCTTGACTTCACTGATTTTAAGAGAAATGCCAGACAAAACCACAATGAAATATCATCTTATCCCACTTAAAATGGCTTTTATCCAGAAGTCAGGCAATAACAAATGCTTGTGAGGGTGTGGAGGAAAGGAAACCTTTGTACACTGTTGGTGGGAATGTAAGTTAGTACAACCACTCTGCAGAACTCTTTGGAGCTTGTCAAAAAAATAAAAGTAGAGCTACCATATGTTCTAGAAATCCCACTGCTGGGTATATATCCAAAAGACAGAAAATTAGTAACTCAAAGAGATATCTGTAGTCCCATGTTTATAGCATACTGTTCCTTATAGCTAAGATTTGGAAGAAACCTAAGTGTCCATCTACAGATGAACTGATTAAAAAAATGTGGTACTTATACATGATGGAGTACTATTATTCAGCCCTAAAAAAGAATAAGATTATGCCATTTGCAACAACATGGATAGAACTGGAGGTGATTATATTAGGTGAAATAAGCTGGTTACAAAAAGGAAAATACTGCATGTACTCACTTATTTGTGGGATCTAAAAATCAAAACGATTGAACCCATGGAGAAAGATAATAGAAGGATGACTACCAGAGGCTGGGAAGGGTACTGAGAGGGTGGTGGGAAACTGGAGATGGTTAATGGGTACAAAAAAAAAATAGAAGAATAAATAAGACCTAATATTTGATAGCACAGTAGGGGGACTATAGCCAATAATAATTTAATTGTACATTTAAAAATAACTAAAAGTTTTTTTGTAACATGAAGGATAAATGCTTGAGAGGATGAATACCCAATTTTCCATTATGGGATTATTACGCATTGCCTCCCTGTACCAGAATATCTCATGTACCCCATAAATATGTACACATACTATGTACCCACAAAATTTTTAAAATTTAAACCTTTAAACATTTTAAAAATTTAAAAAGAATGTGGCAAAGATGATGGAGTGTCATATAAGATTCTGATCTTAGCAGAATGGAGATGGAAATTAACTTGTTGGCTTTGAAGAAGTAAGCTCCTATGTTGTCAGATGGCTGAGTAGGACAATGTGGAAGGGAACAAATGGGACCTCCAGGAGCTAAAGGTGACTCCCAGCTGACAGCCAGCAAAAAGAACAGAGGCTTCAGTCCTATTACTGCAAAGAACTGAAAGCTGCCAACAACCTCATGAATTTGGAAGAGGACTTAGAGTTCTATAAAGAACAAAGTCCAGTGATACCTTCATTGCAACCTTATGACTCCTGAGCAGAGAAATCAGCCAAGCTGCACCCAGACTCCTAACCCATTGAAAATGGGACATGACAAATGTTTGTTTTTTTAAGCCAGTAAATTTGTAGTAAACTTCTGCACCACGGTAGAAAGTACTGTCTGGAAAGTAATTTTGTCTGCATTTTTGCCTTAGAGACTGCAGTGCTGAGTGACTAAACAGACAAATCATGCCCCTGAGCTGGATTTCAAACCTTAGGTTGGACAGTTTTTTAGTGTTTTAAGTGTTACTTAAATTCTCTACATCGTAATGACTTTATTGGTCAAGGAGGTAATATACTTATATCATGGGGTTGCTGTAGAGGTTAATTCAGTTAAGTGCTTAAAGCACAGTAAATGTTAGCTATACTTATAAATATTTGGTTTTGAGGGTTCTATTTGTTTCATTTTGTTTTAAAGAAAATTAATTGAATTAATTTGTAGACTGAGGAGAAGCAATAAATGAAGCTAATGATTCATGAGAGAGATTTTTAGGGAACACAACCCTAGAGGAAATCAGATCCAGAGAACACTCAGAGTAAAGGATGAGGTAAATAAATGTAACTACAAAAGGGATAATCTAGCTTTAATTTATTTTATTCATTTTTACTAGCTTTTTGAAGAGTCAAAATATACTCCACTGATTTTAATGAACAATATTCACAAGCCTTTAGCAGGTCTTTGAAAAACAGGGGAAAAGGAATAGATGGCCAGTATCAGGACATTAATAAGCTTTTGTTTTTCATTTAAAATAAAGAGCAGAAAAGTGAAAGACAGATGTTACATATATACATAGAAAATTGTTTTCTTAATAATGTGTTGCATTTCCTTAAAATTTAAATTTATGTCATAATTATGTATTGCTAATATTTTCCATATATGTATGCATATGTGTATGTATGTATATAAGTACATTTCTATTTTACTATCTGTTCAATGGTTTCATTTTAAACACTTACAAGACGGAAAGTCATTAAATTCAATTTAATCTGGATAATTTTTATGCTTACATAGTGTCTTCCATTATAAACGAATTGGAGCTATTTGAACATTTTATATACCTTGAGCATTAGCACTTCAGAAAAATGCTTTTTCCTTGAACCTTAAATTATCAAATGTAGGTTTCTTAGCTCCATAGGGATACATTTATAGCTATTTTCAAAAAATTCTGGGCTGGGTGCCGTGGCTCACGCCTGTAACCCCAGCACTTTGGGAGGCTGAGGTGGGCGGATCACAAGGTCAGGAGATTGAGACCATCCTGGCTAACAAGGTGAAACCCCATCTCTACTAAAAATACAAAAAAATTAGCCAGACGTGGTGGCGGGTGCCTGTAGTCCCAGCTACTCGGGAGGCTGAGGCAGGAGAATGGTGTGAACCCAGGAGCAGAGTTTGCAGTGAGCCGAGATCGCACCACTGCACTCCAGCCTGGGCAACAGAAGGAGACTCCGTCTCAAAAAAAAAAAAAAAATCTGTTTTTCAAACTCTAGTGATTTTGACAACTAGAAAATGTTCTTAAATAATCTTCATTTATTTGGAATTAGTCACTCATTTCTTTTTTATTCATTCACAAATATTTAATAAATGTATACCATTACAAGCTGTTTTGAGAAGCTGTTAAATATTCTATAGACAATAATTCTGTTTTAAATCTTAGTCTTGTAAAGTTTTCTAAAATACTTTTACTATCATGGATGGTAATAGTAAATTTCTCTGGGAGGTTTTCCTTCTCAGTTTACAAAAGTCTGAGTGTCTTCATTTCATTTATTCTTCAGAATAACTTGGAATACTGAAGAAAAATACCTACCCTTTTCAAAGAAAAGGAATTAGTCAAAATCTGCTGTGTTCTTAGTAGTCACATCTTTGGCATCTGTTATCTTTGTAATATAAATGACAGATTTTATGTAACATTAAGCTTTAGTTCTAAATTTTCATGCAGCATGTCATCTGGTTTACAGATCTGAAAATATTCTAGTAATCTATGTGGATAATTCTTACTATAGTCTATATACTTTTTAGAGACTCAGCTAATGTAAATTCTCCTATTTTAAGAACTGCTTAATTTCTCAATTATCAGGAATCCTGGTGTCTCTCTGCCTGTTCATGAAAACAAACAGATATTCTTTTAACATAAAGAATGGTCAGGCCAGGTGCAGTACCTCATAACTGCTGTATAAGTGAGGTAGGAGAATTCTTTGAGTCCAGGAGTTAAAGACCAGCCTGGGCAACACAGTGATACCCCTATCTCTACAAAAAGAATAAAGAAAGAATGGCTAGACTTAAAATACAGGCTATGTTTGACTTGAGCAGTTACAGAAAAGATACACAGGCATCCTTTAGAGCTACCAAACTAAAATATAAGGAATGCCATTTGGACTTCTGACAGAGGGGTTGTGCTGGGCATAAAAAGATATGAAAGACAAGAAACATCATGATTTTGATTATGACCTAAATAAGCCATAATACACCTTTCTAAGGGTAGATGTCAGCTCACTATTCCTTCGTAGGCAGCTGTCTGTGGCTGCTTCAGGCTGAGCTGTGATGGAGCTGTATTTACTGCACAGACATAGTGAGGATCCTGAGAAACTTCAAGTAGGCTAGCTATTTCAGGCAGAAGTTGTTTTAGTCATGCAGCTCTTACCCTTCATTATATCAAATATTTTGTATAAGATCATTTCACTGTTAGGCAACCGTTAGGCAATCATACATCTCTGCAGAACCAAGAACCAAAATCCAGGGTTCTTGATGCAATCTTGGTGCTTTCATTCCTAGAAATTTTTCTTCTACAGAGACAGAGGTACTCTTGATGAATTTGCAAGCAAAAGATGGAGAGAGTGTCTTAGTCAGTTTGGGCTACTATAAAAAAAAAACATAACTGGCAGCGTAAACAGTGAACTTAACATTTCTCACGGTTCTTGAGGCAGAAAGTCCAAGATCAGGGTGTCAGCAAGTTTCAGATCTTGGTGGGGTCCCTCTTGCTGCTGTGTCCTCACATGGCCTTCCCTTGGTGCATTCATTGAGAGAGAGGTCTCAGCTCTCTTCCTCTTTTTATAAGGGCATTAATCCCATTATGAGGCCTCACACACATTACTAATATAACCTTCAATATCTCCCAAAGGTCCCACTTCCGAATACCATCACACTGGGGATAAGGGTTTCAACACATAAACTTGAGGAGCACAAAAGCATTCAGTCCTTAGCAGAGAGAAATGAGGAAAGTGTTCTCAATACTGTATCACCAGTTAATCAGAACAGCTGTATAACTCTCAGAAACCATAGAATGTATCTAGAGATTTGAGGAGAATTATTAATACATTATTTCTGTCCAAATCTTGTAGGAACATAAGGGCTTGAACAAGCCCCGCAGTATTCAGCAAAGTCTATTACCATTTGTACTTACTGAGAATTTATAAAATGTCTATGTCCCCTGGTATTTCCTTCCTTCCTTCCTCCCTTCCTTCCCTCCCTCCCTCCCTCCCTCCTCCCTTCCTTCCTCCCTCCCTCCCTCCATCCTTCCTTCCTTTCTCTCTTTCTTACTTTTTTCTTTCTTTCCTTTTCTATTTCTTTCTCTTTCTTATTTTTCTTTCTTTCTCTTTCTTTCCTTTCCTTCTTTTTCTTTCTTTCTTCTTTTTTCTTTCCTTCCCTCTTTCTCTCTCTCCTTCCTTCCTTATTTCCTTCCCTCCCTCCCTTCCTCCCTTCCTCACTTCCTTCCTTCCCTCCCTCCCTTCTTTCTCTTTCTTTCTCTCTTTCTCTCTCTGTCTCTCTTTCTGTCTGTCTGTCTGTCTGTCTGTCTGTCTTGATGGAGTCTCACTCTGTTGCCCAGGCTGGATTGCAGTGGCAGGATCTTAGCTTATTGCAACCTCCGCCTCTCAGGTTAAAGGGATTCTTGTGTCTCTGCCTCAGCCTCCTGAGTAGCTGGGATTACAGGAGCCAACCATCATGCCTGGCTAATTTTTGTATTTTTAGTAGAGACGGGGTTTCACTATGTTGGCCAGGCTGGTTTCCAACTCCTGACCGCATGTGAGCTGCCCGCCTCAGCCTCCCAAAGTGCTGGGATTACAGGCCTAAGCCACCTCATCTGGCCTCCCCTGGTATTTTCAAAGTAGAACGTAGACTAACATGGGAAGTTTCCATATACTCCCAATCTTCCATCCATCAGAATTTTTTAAGTTTACATCAGACAAAAATAAATCACAGATAAAACATAAACCCTACACACACACACACACACACACACACACAGACACACACACAGAGAGAGAGAGAGAGAGAGAGAGAGAGAGAGAGAGAGAGAACACAGACTAAAAGCTGTTCAAAGGAGAAAAGAAGTTGCTTTTTTCATTCTGTTGTTGTTGTTTGTTTTTTGAGACGGAGTCTCGCTCTGTCACTCAGGCTGGAGTGCAGTGGCGCGATCTTGGCTCACTGCAAGCTCTGCCTCCCGGGTTCATGCCATTCTCCTGCCTCAGCCTCCCGAGTAGCTGGGACTACAGGCTCCCGCCACCACGCCCAGCTAATTTTTTTGTATTTTTTGGAGAGATGGGGTTTCACTGTGTTAGCCAGGATGGTCTCAATCTCCTGACCTCATGATCTGCCTGCCTCAGCCTCCCAAAGTGCTGGGATTACAGGCGTGAGAAGTTGGTTCTTTTGAAATTTAATGTGGAAAGTTGTCTTCCATAGGATTTCCATGGTAATTAGAAATCCTAAATATTTTTTAAGCACACTGTGGTTATATTTGACAGTCACTTGCAATATTTCAGGAATATCCAGCAACAGCAAATTCTCTCTTAGCACAACTATCTCTTTATTAATTGCTCAGTTTACCCTAGCATATGTTGTAGATACATTTTCACTTAAATTCACTGTGTTTTTGTTTTATTTAGGATAACAAGCTGAAACTTTTCATACTTTCTAAATGCTCAAGGCAATGCTACTTTGGCATAGGCAACTATAAGAAATCACCTAAGAAACACCCTGAAGGGCTTGAAAAATGGATTATGGTTTTCTGCTTACAGGAAATAAAGTTCTAATATGTTATGATGGGGAAAAGAGTCTAGAGGAAGCCATCCAATATTAATTGCCCTGTCATAGGCGAAAATTGGGCCTTAGGTCTTTGATGTCCAAAATAGCTGACTCATATATTTATAGTTACCATATACATTTTCAATTATTCTTGTGAGCCTTAAGGAAATCATGTTTGTTTTCTTGTTGCATTATGTCACGACCATATTTTATATACTTTAGAAAAAAAGATAGAAAACTGATTATTGTTTTTGCTTTCTAAGCTAAAGTTTAAAATTTCATATACCAGGGCTTATTTGAATGTGGATTAATAATAAAATAATAACAATATGAATGTGTTGATTGATTTGAAAATCCATAAGTAAATTAATTTGACCACTTAACCTATGATAAAAGATAAGTTTCAATGTATTTTGGGATTTGAAAGAAGCATGAGACTCATATTTCACCTGTGGCAACAACCACCCACAGCTAACAGCTATGTAGCCATGATAGCTTTGAACTACCAAGCATCATTACAGATGAAATCACTATGATTACTGCTTACTAGATATGTGGACACAGGCAAATAGACTAAATTCTCTGACTCTAAAGCCTTCATTTAAAAAATAATTAAAAAGCATGAAAGCAATATGTATTTTCCAGGATCATTTTGTGTCTGGCAAATACTATGTAAGTGTACAGATGCATCATCAACATTACTGACTTTTGTAGATAGTTCCAGTAGCAAGCAGCTCACAAAGTAATATGGTACCTCATCTCATAATAGAGAATGTGTGTATGTCTGTGAGTATCACCCAAATTTAACAATCTCTTCATCTTTTTCTCACTAAGGTAGTCAGAAAGTCACTTAGAAAAGTTATTGAAACCCTTTTACTAAGATTTTTCCCAAGGTGAGCCATTTCTGTAATTGGCATACATTTCAAAACTGCCCGTGTTCTGACGAACTTTGATTTTTGAAACTTGCCAATTTCAAAATAAAACACAATGTCTTAAACTTAACAGCGCACTGCAACATTGATTTGATGAGGACGGGGTAAAGAGGCCCATGGTGTTCCTATTCTGACAATTACTCTTTTATTAATGCGACTCAAATCACTTTAGATTTTTTATTTTCTTTTGGCTTCCACATCATGCTGATGATTCATGCTGAGATTGCAGTCAATTATAGCCTGGTGCCTACAGTTCTTTTTTACAGAAAACACTGTTAAAATAGTCTTTTCCCTGTCCTGTAACTGTCGAGTTGGTCCTTTTGAAATTTAATGTGTAAAGTTCTCTTTTTTTCTCTTGAAGTGTATACCTTGTTAAACTGTATGCATTGTTCTAAACTAAATAATTTTTCTGAATCACAATTCTAAAATCTAAAACACCAGATTTGTGTCAGCCACAGATTCTTTAACTTATGGTCAGAACTTGATGTAAGTTACCTTTTAACACTAATCAATATAAAAATGTTAAATATATTTATTAACCTATTAGTTTGGTGCAAAAGTAATTGCAGTTTTTGCCATTACTGATGGCTGTCATTTCAATAGCTAGTTCTATTTGAGTGTTCTTGCTCAATCAATTAAAATCATCTAATTGTATTATCACAAATTCATATGTCTTCACTTTTTAAAAGAAAATATTTTAAAAATTTGTCAAACGTTTGTTGAAATCAAGATACGCTATGTACAACCACAGCAGTTTCCAAGTTTGTCTAGTCTACTAATTATGTCAAAAAGGAGAATGGGTCCGGGCACAGTGGCTCATGCCTGTAATCCCAGCACTTTGAGAGGCTGAGGCAGGCGGATCGCCTGAGGTCAGGAGTTCGAGACCAGCCTGGCAAACGTAGTGAAATCCTGTCTTTACTAAAAATACAAAAAAATTAGCTGGCTGTGGTGGCACACATCTGTAATTCCAGCTACTCGGGAGGCTGAGGCAAGAGAATCACTTGAACCCGGGAGGGAGAGGTTGCAGTGAGCCGAAGTCGCACCATTGTACTCCATCCTGGGTGACAGAGAAAGACTTCATCTCAAAAAAAAAAAAAAAAAAGGAGAATATGGAACTAGTTGTCATGATTTTCTTCTGAAACCAAGATTGGCTTCAGTGGTTATTGCATCGTATCTTGAATTCTTATAAATAAAAAGGTGTCATTCTAGAAATTTGCATTAAATTACCATCAATTTTAAATCTTCTTTGTTCACACAATCCCTCTTATCCCACTTTTGAAAAATCCTATCATTCATATTTTTAGCATTATTTACATAACGTATTTACATAATTCTTTACATAATTTCTGAGATTATTTTATCCCCAGATTACTATCAATTCTACTTCCCTAATTGGTTCATTGTGGCCCAAATTGAAAACAAACAAATCACATCATTGTCTTCACAGACTTTGAGAGAAAATATCACCTTATAAATGTTATATGTCACTTTCCACACAGAAAAAAATGAATACAAGTGATAGATTATATAATAGATTCTAGGTTTGAGTACTATAAAAATATTTCAACATTAATTAAAAATATGCTGCACAAGAAATGTCAATCTGGGAGTTGGTACGTGGCATGAAAGTTGAACATGAAACACGGTACTCACTCCAGAGACCCTTGACATTTCTCGATAGTTGAAAGTTGTTCAGAGGTTGATTGCCCACTACGAGCTCTTGCTAAAGGGATCTATTCATGTATAGTACAACCTGCTGGGAAAGGTCAGTGCAAAAGTCAAAACCCTTAAAACTGGGGAGTTTTGTATCTTAATGATGCTTTGAAATGTTACTCACTACAAAGTGGATCACCTGTAGGTAACTGGAAAAGAAGAAAAGAAAAAAACCTAGAAGTGTTGAAGTGAGGAGAGCTGGACTTGAGTTACCCATCTCCATTTAACAGGTATCTTATTTTGAGTAATACAGAAAACCAACTTCAGATAAAATTTCCTCATGTATCAAGTGAGCTTAATATTGACGTTGGATATATTTCTAAAGGATAAAAGTGATTGTTGCTATATAAGCCATGTTTAACCACTGCATCAGTATTTATTGCTGTGACAGTGAATATTGATTGTCAACTTGATTGGATTGAAGGATGCAAAATATTGTTCCTGGGTGTGTCTGTGAGTGTGTTGCCAAAGGAGATTAACATTTGAGTCAGTGAACTGGGAGAGGGAGACCCATCCTCAATCTGGATGGGCACCATCTAATCAGCTGACAGTGTGGCTAGGATAAAAGCAGGCAAAAGAACGTGGAAGGATCTGACTGGCTAAGTCTCTGGCTTTCATCTTTCTCCTGTGCTGGAGGCTTCCTGCCCTTGAGCATCGGACTCCAAATTCTTCAGCTTTTGGGCTCTTAGACCTACACCAGCGGTTTGTCAGGGGCTTCCAGACCTTCAGCCACAGACTGAAGACCGCACCATCGGCTTCCCTACTTTTGAGGTTTTGGGATGCCGCCTGGCTTCCTTGCTCCTCAGCCTGCAGATGGCCTATTGTGGGACTTCACCTTGTGATTCTTTGAGTCAATACTCCTTAATAAACTCTTCTTCATGTATACATCTATCCTTTAAGTTCTGTCCCTCTAAAGAATCCTGACTAATACATTGCTATTATTGCTTATTTAAACTCCACAAATTGGTTGAGGCATATGATGATTATTATTATTTGTAGCATTAGTAGTATTACCATCAGGATTCCTATTAGTACTAGTTGTAGTGCCAGTAGTATTACTGATACTAAATCAGAAAACCTTTGAAACATCCAGTGTGATGTAGTCTGCAGTGGAATCAGAATCTGTCTACCCCATGTGGATTTCAACATTTTACAGTCATTCTCCTGAGGTGGAGATTATGAACTTGGCCTCAGCTATTAACTATATTAACAAGAGGCCATGGGGTTAAGCATAATGCCTGTGGAGATTTTTGGCTCTCCTCCAGGACGGTTCACCTTCCAACAACCAGAACCAAAGCTCATGCCCAGAGAACCTCATTGTGAAGGGCAAATCTGAAAGCTGTTATTATGGAGAAGGTCATTTTTGCAGTGTAGTCTAGTCTGGCACTAACGTTACAGGCAGCAGCGACCACCACAGCCCTGATAGAGTCAGGATCTGCACAATCCCTTCTGGCTGCCCATAGCACAGGCTTCTGACATTTTACTGAGATAACCGTTAGAGCTTTCTTTAAGCCTGAGTGCTTTTGAAGTAGAAGGAATAAAATGACGAGGTTCACTCTGAACCCTTAGTGGTAGCAGAGAGGTTATTGTCAGTTTCCTGAAATCGTGTATCCTAAGCTCCATTTATTTTGAATGTCGGAATTTGTTCAGTCTGCTGAACCAACAAAATGCAATGCTAATTTGATTAGAGTATAAAGAGCTTTATTTTTATTTAAATTCAGTCCACTAGTTAAAGCTTCAACTCAGAAATGTATTTTTAAAGAAAACTAGATAGTGTTGTGAACAGACTGGAAAAATCAGATGATTGTTCATGTACATATACATGGACACACACATATATAATCCACGATGAGACAGATTTTATACTTGAAAAAGCAAGCATATTTGAATAAAACATTACTCTGGGACTTGCTGGCTCTATCATCTTGAGTGGTCAGCTTCAGGTTTCTCATCTGTAAACTGGTACTAATGGTATCAGCCTAGCAGGATACTATTATGAATTGAATTATTTCAAGTATTTAAAAGATATGGATGGGATGTCCATAATGCTAGGCACTCATTGGTGACATAGAATTCAGCATAACTAGACAATGCCGTGAGCCTTCCATTCCAGTGATGGCAATACAGGGAGTGTAGTTAGCAAAGAGCCTGGCATATAGAGCAGGCATTCAATAAATGCCAGTGCTGTGATCTGAATGTTTGTGTCCCCCCAAAATTCATATGTTAAAATCCTAACCACCAAGGTGGTGGTATTAGCATGGTATTGGGAGGTGATTAAGTCATAAGAGTAGAGTCCTCATGAATGGGATGAGTGCCCTATAGAGGAATCCACAGAGAGCTGCCTTGTCCCTTCACCATATGAGGTCACCATGTGCAGGCACAGAGAAGGCATCACCTATAAGAAAATGAGGCCTCACCAGACACCAATCTACTGTTGCCTGATCTGGACTTTCAGCACTGTAAGAAATACATTTCTGTTGTTTATAAGCTGTCTAGTCCATGGCATTTTGTTATAGCTGCCCGAATAAACCTTGACAGTCAGTTTCCCTCCTCTGGACTGAACCACTGTGTGGAAGAGTTTGCAGGATAAAAGCATGATAATCTCATGATAATGATACAAAGCAGATTATACCTAAATTTTTATCAACCTGAAATTATAATTTCTCTTTCTCCATTCTTATATGTCTTATGCAGATTTCAATTCCTGTTTACAGCACTCATTCCTTTGGTTTCAAATTTTAAATTTATTTGTTTCTCAGTGGCTATAATACTTACTCATAATTTTAATCCCCTCTTTCCCAATTCGGAATAACATCAATATAATTTCTTAACCTGGCATTCAAGGTATTTTCCAATACATTCCTGTATTCTTTATGTCACACTTCCAACCAATCAATCAATCTTAAGATTGTTTGCTCACCCCCAAATATGTTTCTCATTTCTTTTATATTTTCACTTGCATGTCAGTGTTTGAATCCCTGTCTCACTATAGACTTACTTTAGCTAATCTTTTTTTTTGAGACGGAGTCTGGCTCTGTCGCCCAGGCTGGAGTGCAGTGGCGCAATCTCGGCTCACTGCAAGCTCCGCCTCCCGGGTTCAGGCCATTCTCCTGCCTCAGCCTCCTGAGTAGCTGGGACTACAGGCGCAGCTAATCTTTAAAAAATTTGTCAACCAGTAGTTCATTGAAAGATTAAACAATAGAATAAATAAATGATTGTACACAGTTCAAGCCTGCAAACCTTTTGGGAGCAACAGTGGGCTTATTACTTTCTGTAACATATGAGGACATAGAGCGTACCTGTAAACGTATACATTGTAAGTTCTCTATTTAGTTGAAATAAATTGAGCTATTTGTACACATTAACTCAGTTTAAATTAATAATTTTAGTAACGACTAAGAAAAAAGAGAAAAGACTAAGCTCTATGATTCCAGACATTTGATTAACTAGAATTCTGATTTTTCTATTCAACAAATTATATAAATCACAGGAGTTACAATAGAAGACTTAAACTTATTATGCAGTGAAAATACTTAATGATATATGTTATTCTTAAATATTATAGAAGCTACAAGGTTTTTTTCAGTTTAAACTCATTGTATTTATACATATAATTAGTTCATTATTTTTATTAAAGCAGATGTAAACTTGAACTACGCAGTCAGAATAGGATTGTCAAATGTGGTAGGAAGTAAATCCATCAGGAAAAGTTATTGAAGGAAACCAGTAAGTGTTACTCTTTTTTAATGTTTTTATTACTTTGGATACAATGAGATAGTCCAGTGGTACTTTTAAAATTCAATATCCAAGTATCTCCATAGGGTTTGTTCAATGTACAACTGACTATTATATAACAGGACCTTATTTACTAAAGAAAGGTGGAGAATTAATTGTATTGATTTTTATCTGCAAAATATTGCATGGTAGATATTATCCTACCTTTGTGGATACAATTATAGATAACATTTCAAAGTTGTAGTAATTTGAAAGTCATAAGGAAGACAGGTGGACAAGTGGCTAGGTATATGGTCAGCATCCTTAGTCAAAATGTTTTGGATTAATGTTAAATCTAATTTATTATTATCGAATAAGCAACCTAAAGTTTCTTTAGGTGTTATGTTTATAGGCAAAGGTGAGGGAAATTGGGATTTCACATCTAGCAGAGGAGTAGAGAGTTTTCACAAAGTAGAGTAGTATGTTCTAGAGACTAATACATGTAGTTTCAAAAGAAGCTTTGGCTAAGTTACATGTCAAACAAGTTTTTAATATAAAGCTGAAGATAATGGAATTCAGGCGGAGTCAAGCCTTATAGAGTAACATCTTTAGCTTCAACAATCCACTAACACACTGGTATATGATGTCTAAGGAGCTCTAAAATCTCAGTGGCAGCAAAACCGTGCATATTATTGAGTGCCCTATCATACAAAGTCTTCCCAAGATTATACTGAGAGTGGATTGAATGAAGAAAATACAGAATAATAATAATGATAGAAATAAATAAGGGCAGGTTTTGGGTACTTCAGATTGACAAACAATGGAAGCAAATAAGAAAGAAGTAAGTCTGGCTGCATTGAAGTCATGCTTTGGGCAGTGATGCATGGGACAAGTGAGCCACAGGTGATGGCCCTGCCAAGCCAGCCAACTCAACTGGGCTAGCTAAGCAGGCAGAGCTGATTCATATAACAAGCGGAAAAACAATACAAATTGGTGCTTTATTACAATGCCTCAGGCCCATTAATTATTATTTGGGGATGAGAGGAGTTGAGTAAAAAACTATAGTGTTTCAAAATGGTATGTCATCTGTCACTTTGAAATTAATTTATTAATGATTTAACGAGATGCTATTATAGTTTCTAAAATGCAGCTCTTCAAGTTTGCATATTCGTGTCTCACCAATTTATACTAATTGAAAAAAATCATAGTTGCAGAATTTATCATGAAAATCAGGATTTGGGCAATGGCTTTTTAAGATATGCAAATCAAATTATATTTTTCAATATTTATCCTATAGAATTTCACTTTGGTCATTTAGTAACATATGCCCCATGGAGGCAAGAACATTTTTCTTGTCCAGCTATTTGACATGTGTAAATCACAAAAGGTGGTAAACTATTTTCACAAATAGCATTTTTTCTTACTATCAGCTTCAATGACTCATATAGTAGTAATTGAAGAAAAAAATAATCTGGCAAACATTTCACTTTTGAAAGTAAAGCAGTTAAATCTTTGAGGAAACAGAATAAATTTTATCTCACTGTCATATCAAATTTAATTTTTGATGCCACTATTTACTTTCCACTTTATAAATTAATAACATTTTAGAAATCAAAATTATTACAATATTTAATATTTAAAGCTCTATTAAGTGTTTGGAATCATTTGCTTAGACTTGTTTTTTTTTTTTTAATTTGGAAACCCAGCAGACTTTTTCCATCTCTTCATTATCCAGCTCTCCTTTAAGTTCTCAGAAAGCTAAATTATTTTATACTTGGTATCTGCTAGCAATAAAATCGAATCCATTCTTGTCTACTAGTGTTTTGTTCCTCAATAATTTGTGTTACTGGTTGCTTATCCTCTTTTCTTTTCATATCCCTGACCTTTTTTTTCTTCTGATCTGTTGCCTAGTGTTAGGAGACACAGTGATAATAAAAATTGCGAAATAAATAAATAAACAAAATACAATAACAAAAACCCCTACAATGTAGAAGTTGTCTTCTGACGGCAAAATAATTACAAAGAAAAGAAAAAGTTGAAATCTGACAGGATTAGCCTGCTGACTTGCTGAGTTTATGAGCCCTGTAAAGAATACCAATGAGAGAAAAAATAGGAGAGAGAGACAACGTTATAAATTTTACCCGCAGACTTCTTCACAGTGCTTTGGGAAATAAAATCAAGTTCTGGATACCATTAATGGTTATTGTCATGAAAGAGAACCAGTTTGCCATCTGCTTCTCTGTTCGAGATTAATAGAAACACTGGAGGTGGAGCTCTCTTTGAAATAGTTAAGTGATCTGCAGAACAATGCGAAACCCTCTGACATATGGACATTATACTGGAACTGGCAAAAATATTTATTTAGAAACTGTTGAGTTAGTCTATCTAGCATAAGAACTAGTAACACAATCTACTGATGATTCAGAATCAAAATACTAAGACTAGATCAAGGTGTGCTGTGATTATAATAATGCAACATAAAGCAGAAGCTCAAAGTCACTTCTACAAAGCACGGAATTCATGTTATGTAGAGGCACTGCCAAAGATGAATACCAAACAGATCCTCACTTATGCTAGTTAGAGGGCTGGGATGTGTGACATGATTCTGGATTACCATGACACAATTTGTGAAAACAAACAAACAACAACAAAAAGCACTGTTACAGTCATCAGTCTTATATCATCATTTTCTCTCCAACAGTGTTTATGTATTTACTAAAGCAATATGATGCCCATTCTAGAAAAACAAAACCACATAATTGATTTTAAAATTTTGTGAAAATCTGATAAAATATGGAAGTTTTTAGGAATAAATTAACCTATTCATGGACACAAATATTTTCTACATAATTACAGAGAATGACTGAACCCACTAATATCTGCTCAAAGACCCTAAATTAACTACTGCTAAGACTCACCTGCATGTTCCAACGTTTTCCCACATTTAACAATTCTAATTTATGGGAAGAAATATTAATACACGATCTTATAAAAATATATTGTAAATAGTTGCTAAATGGACCACATTAAGAAATAGGCTAAAATATGAAATATCCAAATAGTGGAATTTATTCCATCTCTAAAATTGACATTTTTAATTAAATAGTTTATTATTTTAAATATATAGATCACACAAACATACTCACACAAACATATAATCACAAACTCAAGTTTCAAACTGTGGATACTATGGGTCCTATTATAGTAAAAAAATACAGACCTATATGCAAAAAGAAAGTCTCAGAAAAGTATACTCGAAAAGTTTGGTCATTATTTCTGTATTTGGTCTTTTTTCTTCATCTCAATTTTTGATTTTTTTTACACTAAATGTGTACCAAAGATACACTAAGATCAACCTCTCTTAGTGATGTGCGTTTAAACTACAGATATTTCTGAGAATTGCAATGCATCAAGTGTCTGCAACCCTGGTACATGGATTGCATATGGGTTGCCTTAAAGGAGACAGAATTAACAGGAATAAACACAAATATGAATGGCAGAAAATGTGCAGATGCTGAAACATTTATCTCATGACCAACCACCTATACAAAGGAGAGACCAGTAATGAAGTCCCTTAGGAAGTGACAAAATTCCCATCCAAGTCTCAGAAAGCACTTTCCTCTGAAGTGAATCTTATCTGAGAGTGGCCTATGTTCTTGAGTTCAGAGTTCAGAGAAGTTGCTATCAAATTATCGAAGGCAAAAAGGAATCACATTGGGGAAGCTTCTGGAAAGTAGGTGGGGAATAATGGAAATGAATTTGACAAAATAAGACAGGAAATAATTTTTCAGTATATAAGCACCAGAGACCTAGGCAGCCAGGAATTCTTAAAGGACTAAAGGAAACTTTCCTGCAATGCAGTAAACTGTCCCCTGACAAAACCACCCCCAACCCGCAACCATCAACCATCGCCATCACCACCAGTGGTGGGGAAATAAAGTTTATTGTCAGTAGGTTCAGGGAGCTGCCATTTACTACATCTACATGTTTGAACACCCAAATAGAAGATACAGATTATTTAAGAAGACACACATAAATTAGAAACTCCTAATAGCAGGGCAGACTGTCTATTTTTGGTCCTGACACTAAGCAAAGCTGCTTGAGACGCCTGGATGCCAACATTTAAGTTGAGTACAGATATCTAGGTCATACTGGAGGATCTGCTGGGGAGAAGGGAATAAAGAGTCAAGTAATATTTTTCCATGTTCCATAGCTCTAACTAGCACTAGCTCCAAAGGCAGTGCTCTCAAATGAATTTCATTGGGGAAAAATATTTTTAAGAGGTAAAAAGAAAGAGGTGACCACGGTTGCTTATTAAAGGTATTTCAAACTCTTTTATATCCCCATTATACTTGAAAATCCCAAGTAAAACAAACAAGGAAAGGTCATATATATACTGGTTTATAATTTTCAAACAGTTGTCACTTGCATTTTTCCTTTCATCTTTATGCAGGTTTAATCACATCACCATTTCATAATGAGAGAAGCTGAAGCACTAGAAATTTAACCGAATTGACTAGGGCCATCTGAGTTCTAACAGAGCTGGGACTCACACCTTAGCCTTCTCAGGATAATTGCCTATATTAAACCCACAAAGCATGCTGTTTATCATGGCCATAAACCCATAAAGAGATGATTTATAGTGGGGCATTCATTTTGAATATGATTAATTTCATTTTTATAAATGATTTTGGATGACTTTCTCATCTGGGTATCATAATGACTGTCATTACTAAACAAATTTGCTCTTCGAAGTAGAAATAACGTGGGTGATATCTTCCTTTTCATGACTAATTTACTGCCAAGAGGGGATTCTGTCATTATATAGTAATAATGTTCCTAAATCAATGTGCTCTAGCAACACTGGAAATCAGAATGTAGCTTACTTTTCATGAACCAAAATTGTCAACTAGGAACAGTCCTGATGTTCTGAAGTTCCAATAAAAGTAATTAAAGAACAATAACATTGGCTAAGTTGTTGAGTCCTTTTTAAATAAGACTTCAAGTAGTAAGTACTGCTGAACACCCAGACTATTTTTGAAGGAGAGAGATATATATATTTCCTTAAAAAAAAAATATATATATATATATATAAAACTATCTTACATGTCTTTTAAAATGAAAACATAGCAATATCTTTTAAAAAGAACCTGGCTTTCCTATGTAAAAGCACAGTGGGAGAACTTAAAAAGCTGTGCTAAGGAAGAGTGACCTGCTCTCGGATCTCATTCAGATCATCACTCAGTATCCAAACTTGCATAATCTTGACATTCTTGGCACCTCATGGGGCTCCCGGGGTGATGTCCATGGGTGAGAATGTGAACTAAACAACAAACAAATTCCTGTACAAATACATACATACATACTGAAACACACACATGCACAAATGTGTAGTTTAAAAGGAGTCAAGTTATTTATGACTAAACAATAGGGGTTGGGAAACATATAAAGGCACAGAAATAATCTTTGGAGTGGGTTATCCCACCATTTAAAAGAATGGTCCATTTGCATATGCCATCACTGGCCTTCTGAGAATGATGTGTTAAGTAAGCAAATCATCCATTATTCTTTTAATATTAAGGTAATGAAATATAAAATAGAAGCAGTTAGAGCAGTCAGACGAACTTTGTCAGCATGATCAAAATGCAGAAACATTCCTGCCATAAGACTAAACAAGAGCCTTTTTCAAAAATGCATTCATTTTAAGCTCTGTAACATCAAAATCTGTTTGTGGTGTTTATTTTAATTTGAGGGGAGAATAGCAATATTTTCCAAATATGAAAGCCCCAAATAACAACCTATGAAACCATACAGTTTTAAAAACTTTATTTATATGACATTATAAATTAGGATAAGATAATTCATATCACATTTAGATAACAATGGTTTTATTATGCAGCTTATCTGAATTCAAAGCCAACCATGTTGTCATTTGAAAATGTGTTAATCATTCCATTTACAATGAGTATGTAGCATAAATAAAAGCTGCATTCACACAGTCCTTGGGATTTAAATACAATATGCTTAATCCTCCTATCTCATGTTCTGGAGTACTTCAGGTGGGCCTCCACAATTTGTTTATTAATTCCCAAAGTGATTAATTTTTATGGTACCTCAAGGTTTTGAATTATCGCAATAAATATATCTGATGTATACATATGGAAGACTGAGTCTTAAATAATTTGCATATGTCAGTATATTGGTTCAGGTCATATTGCTAATTAGTGCTGAACCATGATTAACTCCAAGTATATCTTCAATCCTTTGATACCAGTATCTTCAATACCAATTTCAATCCTATTTTGATTAAGAGATGTAGGCTCGGATCTCAAGGACCAAATGATTCTCTTGGTAAGATGAACTGTGTTCACATGTAACTAAAAACAAGATTGCGTATGTGTCAACTGATGGTCTGAGAAAAAAGTTTGCTATGGAGAAAAATACTAGTAGCAACCAAAATAATTTTTAAAAGTACAGCTTCAGTGGAGTTATCTTGCAGTTAATTTTTGAATAATTAGAAGACTGGTTGAATGGACATTTTCTAAATATTTATTTATGTGTCTCTAGCTACACATATTAATTAGGTGTAGCAATTTATCTATCTATCTAGCTAGATAGAGAGATATAGAGACAGCCAGATAGAGATATTATTTGTATTTTTCTGCCACTAAAAAGGAGAGAAATTGATAGTACAAATACTTGTTTCTGACAAGGCAAAAGTGAACATGGTGGAAACAGAAAAGATCAGCAGAATTACAGAACTGTCCAGGTTGGAGATTCCCATGAGAGATGTGTGTATTATTTATTCTTGCAGCTACTGTCAATTATTTCTGATTTCTAGTGTTTACTTATATGTCTGTTTCTATCCAGGTAGACAGTTGATGACTATTTTCAAATTGACATATTGAAAGAGATTGCTTAGATTTTGAGGTAGTCTGCTCACAGAAAATCCTTATCAGATGTTAACTCGGTACCCCAAATGGAAGATAAAAATTAATCCATAAAAAAAACCATCATGATTTGTAAAAATGAAAATAATTCCAATTAACATAAAAACGTTATCTACCTAATGAAGGAATGGAGAAAATGATTGTCAACGTATTAACATATTAGTCTGTTTTTGTATTTTACAATAAAAAAGTGGGCACTTTTGTATTAATTTAAGTAAAACGCATTGGATTGATATAAGAAAGTTCTCTATTCCCAAGGGGGATATATAAGTCAGTGAGTAGTTAATATGCTTAAGTTTATTATTAACAGTACAAATTGATCAGATTTTTCCCAAAAAAATGATCAATTTTTCCCTCAGGTGGAGAATATACATAAAGGTGCACATTACTTGCATTTCAATATGAGACACAGAAAAGATAAAATAGACAGAATGGCTAGAAGATAAAGTTATAAAAGCAGACTTTGTCCTGATAAAAGTTCTTATTTAAAAATGCATGATTCCTTGTCAAAAATTTTTAACCTTATAAAAATTCATGAGCATTTCTGTTTGGTATTTAATGTATATCTCATTAAAAATGAGTTTTGAATATATGATTAATATTGTTAACTCCAGCACATCCTCTCCTGCTAAAGTGCATTGAAAGTCCTAAACAACATTAAATAGTTTTCTCTGGTGATACATCTACTGCTTTCATCGATGACATTTCCTTAAAGAATACTAATGGCAGGTCGGCCGTGGTGGCTCAGGCCTGTAATCCTAACACTTTGGGAGGCCAAGGCAGGTGGATCCCTTGAGGTCAGGAGTTCGAGACTAGCCTAGCCAACATGACAAAACCCCATCTCTACTAAAAATACAAAAATTAGTTGGGTGTGGTGGCAGAAACCTATAATCCCAGATATTCAGGAGGTTGAGGCAGGAGAATAACTTGAACCCGGAGGCGGAGGTTGCAGTGAGTGAAGATCATCCCACTGCACTCCACTCCAGCCTGGAAGATAGAGCGAGACTCTGTCTCCCAGAAAAAAAAAAGAAATGCTAATAGCCAAAAAAGCAGCCCCCACTTTAAATGAATTTGACAATGGCTGATGTTTTCAGTTCTGTTCTGTGTTTAACACTTCACTGACAATCTGGAGTGACAGGCATCTGGATAATTTAGCCACACAATATATATAATTGGGCCTAAAATTTAGTAAAAATGAACACTGTCATATATTCCTTTCCAAATGTGGCCCAGGGCCTATTGGTAGAACGTTATTGAATTCATCAGAAATTGTAAAAAGCAGAAAGCATTACAGAGAAAGTTCATGTAGAGCTTAACTAAATATGTGATTTGTCTCACCCATGGTGACCATAAGAGTGATGACACAAGATTCTCATATGCTGCTTTGTCAAGCCAAAAAACACACTGATGGTAGTTCACATTGATTGATTCACTAAATTCTGTTATAATTGTTCACAAAATTCCTAACTACAAAGTAGCTGTTTAATTCATATCAGAAAACTATTATTCACAACAAAATTTTGATGTATTATATTTTTACCTAGAAGATATTTTAAAAACCAGCCACTGCAAAAACATGCCAAAGTGTAAAGACCATCAATGCTAGGAAGAAACTGCATCAACTAATGAGCAAAATAACCAGCTAACATCATAATGACAGGATCAAATTCAAACATAACAATATTAACCTTAAATGTAAATGGGCTAAATGCTCCAATTAAAAGACACAGACTGGCAAACTGGATAAAGAGTCAAGACTCATCATAGTGCTGTATTCAGGAAACCCATTTCATGTGCAGAGACACACATAGGCTCAAAATAAAGGGATGGAGGAAGATCTACCAAGCAAATGGAAAACAAAAAAAGGCAGGGGTTGCAATCCTAGTCTCTGAAAAAACAGATTTTAAAACAACAAAGCTCAAAAGAGACAAAGAAGGCCATTACATAATGGTAAAGGGATCAATTCAACAAGAAGAGCTAACTATCCTAAATACATATGCACCCAATACAGGAGCACCCAGATTCAAAAAGCAAGTCCTTAGAGATCTACAAAGAGACTTAGACTCCCACACAATAATAATGGGAGACTTCAACACCCCACTGTCAACATTAGACAGATCAACGAGACAGAAAGTTAATATGGATATCCAGGAATTGAACTCGGCTCTGCACCAAGTGGACCTAATAGACATCTACAGAACTCTCCACCCCAAATCAAGAGAATAAACATTCTTCTCAGCACCACATTGCACTTATTCCAAAATTGACCACACAGTTGAAAGTAAAGCACTCCTCAGCAAATGTAAAAGAATAGAAATTATAACAAACTGTCTCTCAGACCACAGTGCAATCAAACTAGAACTCAGGATTTAGAAATTCACTCAAAACCACTCAACTACATGGAAACTGAACAACCTGCTCCTGAATGAGTACTGGGTACGTAACGAAATGAAGGCAGTAATAAAGATGTTCTTTGAAACCAACGAGAACAAAGATACAACATACCAGAATCTATGGGATACATTTAAAGCAGTGTGTAGAGGGAAATTTATAGCACTAAATGCCCACAAAAGAAAGCAGGAAAGATCTAAAATTGACACCCTAACATCACAATTAAAAGAACTAGAGAAGCAAGAGCAAACACATTCAAAAGCTAGCAGAAGGCAAGAAATAACTAAGATCAGAGCAGAACTGAAGGAGATAGAGACACAAAAAAACCTTCAAAAAATCAATGAATCCAGGAGCTGGTTTTTTGAAAGGATCAACAAAATTGATAGACCACTAGCAAGACTAATAAAGAAGAAAAAAGAGAAGAATCAAATAGATGCAATAAAAAATGATAAAGGGGATATCACCACCGATCCCACAGAAATACAAAGTACCATCAGAGAATACTATAAACACCTCTACACAAATAAACTAGAAAATCTAGAAGAAATGGATAAATTCCTCCACACATACACCCTCCCAAGACTAAACCAGGAAGAAGTTGAATCTCTGAATAGACAAATAACAGGCTCTGAAATTGAGGCAATAATTAATAACTTACCAACAAAAATGTCCAGGAACAGACGGATTCACAGCCAAATTCTACCAGGGGTACAAGGAGGAGCTGGTACCATTCCTTCTGAAACTATTGCAATCAATAGGAAAAGAGGAAATCCTCCCTAACTCATTTTATGACGCCAGCATCATCCTGATACCAAAGCCTGGCAGAGACACAACAAAAAAAAGAGAATTTTAGACCAATATCCCTGATGAACATTGATGCAAAAATCCTCAATAAAATACTGGCAAACTGAATCCAGCAGCATGTCAAAAAGCTTATCCACCATGATCAAGTGGGCTTCATCCCTGGGATGCAAGGCTGGTTCAACATATGCAAATCAATAAACGTAATCCAGCAAATAAACAGAACCAAAGACAAAAACCACATGATTATCTCAATAGATGCAGAAAAGGCCTTTGACAAAATTAAACAGCCCTTCATGCTAAAAACTCTCAGTAAATTAGGCATTGATGGGATGTATCTCAAAATAATAAGAGCTATTTATGAAAAACCCACAGCCAGTATCATACTGAATGGGCAAAAACTGGAAGCATTCCTTTAAAAACTGGCAAAAGACAGGGATGCCCTCTCTCACCACTCCTATTCAACATAGTGTTGGAAGTTCTGGCCAGGGCAATCAGGCAGGAGAAAGAAATAAAGGATATTCAATTAGGAGAAGAGGAAGTCAAATTGTCCCTATTTGCAGATGACATGATTGCATATCTAGAAAATCCCATCTTCTCAGCCCAAAATCTCCTTAGGCTGATAAGCAACTTCAGCAAAGTCTCAGGATACAAAATCAATGTGCAAAAATCACAAGCATTCTTATACACTAATAACAGACAAACAGAGAGCCAAATCATGAGTGAACTCCCATTCACAATTGCTTCAAAAAGAATAAAAACCTAGGAATCCCACTTACAAGGGATGTGAAGGACCTCTTCAAGGAGAACTACAAATCACTGCTCAATGAAATAAAAGAGGACACAAACAAATGGAAGAACATTCCATGCTCATGGATAGGAAGAATCAATGTCGTGAAAATGGCCATACTGCCCAAGGTAATTTATAGATTCAATGCCATCCCCATCAAGCTACCAATGACTTTCTTCACAGAATTGGAAAAAACTACTTTAAAGTTCATATGGAGCCAAAAAAGAGCCCACATTGCCAAGTCAATCCTAAGCCAAAAGAAGAAAATTGGAGGTATCATGCTACCTGACTTCAAACTATACTACAAGGCTACAGTAACCAAAACAGCATGGTACTGGTATGAAAACAGAGATATAGACCAATGGAACAGAACAGAGACCTCAGAAATAATACCACACATCTACCACCATCTGATCTTCGACAAACTTGACAAAAACAAGCAATGGGGAAAGGGTTCCCTATTTAATAAATGGTGCTGGGAAAACTGACTAGCCATATGGAGAAACCTGAAACTGGATCCCTTCCTTACACCTTATACAAAAATTAATTCAAGATGGATTAAAAACTTAAATGTTAGACCTAAAACCATAAAAACCCTAGAAGAAAACCTAAGCAATACCATTCAGGACACAGGCATGGGCAAGGACTTAATGTCTAAAACACCAAAAGCAAAGGCAACAAAAGCCAAAAGTGACAAATGTGATCTAATTAAACTAAAGACCTTCTGCACAGCAAAAGAAACAACCGTCAGAGTGAATAGACAACCTACAGAATGGGAGAAAATTTTTGCAATCTACTCATCTGACAAAGGGCTAATATCCAGAATCTACAAAGAACTCAAACAAATTTACAAGAAAAAAACAAACAACCCCATCAAAAAGTGGGTGAAGGATATGAACAGACACTTCTCAAAAGAAGACATCTATGCAGCCAACAGACACATGAAAAAATGTTCATCATCACTGGCCATCAGAGAAATGCAAATCAAAACCACAATGAGATACCATCTCACACCAGTTAGAATGGCGATCATTAAAAAGTCAGGAAACATCAGGTGCTAGAGAGGATGTGGAGAAATAGGAACACTTTTACACTGTTGGTGGGACTGTAAACTAGTTTAACCATTGTGGAAGACAGTGTGGTGATTCCTCAGGGATCTAGAACTAGAAATACCATTTGACCCAGCCATCCCATTACTGAGTATATACCCAAAGGATTATAAATCATGCTGCTATAAAGACACATGCACACATATGTTTATTGTGGCACTATTCACAATAGCAAAGACTTGGAACCAACCCAAATGTCCATCAATGATAGACTGGATTAAGAAAATGTGGCACATATATACCATGGAATACTATGCAGCCATAAAAAAGGATGAGTTCATGTCCTTTGTAGGAACATGGATGAAACTGGAAACCATCATTCTCAGCAAACTATCCCAAGGACAAAAACCCAAACACCGCATGTTCTCACTCATAGGTGGGAACTGAACAATGAGAACACTTGGACACAGGAAGGGGAACATAACACACTGGGGCCTGTTGTGGGGTGGGGGGAGGGGGGAGGGATAGCATTAGGAGATACACCTAATGCTAAATGACGAGTTAATGGGTGCAGCACACCAACATGGCACATGTATATGTATGTAACAAACCTGCGCATTGTGCACATGTACCCTAGAACTTATAATAATAAAAAAACAAATTTATTATACTACAGAAATAAATGGAGCTCTGTGTATATTAGACATATATTTTCAAATAAAAAATTTGGAGATTGTAAAAAGAAAAATTGGTAACTAAAGTAAAATAATTAAGATGTAACACAACTGAATCTATAAATAAATAATGATAATGTCATTACAAACTTCTTAAATTTATCATTATGCAAAACAAATGAAGAAATGCATGTGGTCTTTCTCAGCATATGTCTTTCCAGGTTTATATAACATTTATTAAACATTTTGATCTTTTAATGGCAGTTAATCCATTGGGAAACAGAATACTTAGGGAATGCAAACAACCATTAAATTATATGCCAACCAGGCTTGTTACATTGGCAGAGTATGATGAATATGCCTATGATGCCTATTAAACGGCATGAAGAAGATATTTCTGCTCCTCCAAACAACCTTTTACACAGCTAATCTCTACTGATTGAAACTGTCTTCAAATATGTAAAATATTGATATTTAATAAGTTTTTCTTTCTTTTCTCCAATGATATATGTCCTTGGAAAGCTGACAGATAACAGTGGTAGAGACCCTTGATTACATTTATATACAAGTTTGTTGTTTAAATATTCCTAAAGTGAAACAAGAATCTCATAGATCCAAGGCACTAAAAAAATGCATCTTTGGGAAGTAAAGACATGATGTTGTGTCAGACAAAATGCATTGAGTAGAAATGGGAGGCAATGCCTGCATCATCTTCAGTTAAAGCACATAAAACCTGATCATCTGTTCTTAGATAACCAGACAGTAAACTAGACCAAAGGAACAGATTTCTTAGTAACGTGATATTCTGCCAACAATCACATTGGTTTTATTTGATAGTTTTCATAAACATGGGCTTTTATCCTGTGGCCTTATAAAGGCTTTGCCTTCATGCCCCTCCCCTCATTCTCCTCCCTCACTAGGCTGCCATGGGGTCTGTAGTCTGCAGTAACGCAGGTGTTGAAAGTGGCACCAAGAGACACATCTGTGGTTTCCAATTTAATACAGTCTAGTTTTAAAAGATAAGATTGTATGGCTTTGTGCAAAATAAAAAAGGTATTGCATGACACTGGAAAAATAAAATCATATCGTTTTGTCTTGTTTTAAGGATATTATCAATTATAGGCAAGTGAGGTTGGGAGGAAAATAAAGAGGGGAAGAAGGGAAGTCCATGTGCCCTTAATAGGAGCGATGGGAAGAAAAGACAATGCTTTCATGAACGATGTAAACAAACAGATTCAAATGTTAACTAAAAAGATGCCTAGGTGAATCATATATAATATAAGGAGATCTGATATAGAATTTAATTGTGTGTATCTCCTGGAAATTAACTTACTTAGTTTATGACAGATTTGAAATGAACCTTCAGCAGTTGGTGTTCACAGGGGAGCTTTTCTATGTGGTAATCTGTGGCCGGCAACAGGGAGTCTTACATTGGTAGAAGGTGGTTACAGGTGAGAAAAATAAGTGAAGGAGAATGGGGTGGATCAAAGTATGGAACATTTATAACAATGGTGTGGAAAAAAATTTGACTCAGGCATCTTGCTACCTAGAAGACTGCTAGTCACTACCTAATAATTGAATGAATAAATGAATGCTTTCAGAAAGTGATATAAATGAAAAATGCACCAATGTTACCTTAGCATCAGGCTGTTTCTATGTAAATAATTTATGAATTTTATCTGTGATCAGATGGCTCCTTTCTGAATGAGACAGAATTTGAACATGTTTATCTGGGGCTAAAGGCATGCTGAAAGTAGAAGAAATCAGGCCAATAACAAAATTCAAGCCTTTCAAAATTGTGTTGACACTGACATAAATGTAAAGACTCATCAAAGAAAGACAGCAACAATAGAAGAAGCTGATTTTCTCCCTAAATACACACATAATAAGCAACATTTTAAAGTAACATGTAGGCTAACAGTGGAACAGATTCCCTTTCTTCACTCTAAGCTCACTCGACTGCATGACATAAGTATTTCCTTTTATATCACACTGAGAATTTCACTTTTTATTCAGATTTGGTGCATTTCTCTCTCTGCTAATAGACATGGGCAGTGACTAAATTTCTAAGGGTATGGGTGTACACAATTTTGATGATGTGAATCTTGCTTTTGCTTATTAATGGCTGATAACTTGACATATTAGTACAGCTCAAGTATAAGCAGCTTTTCAAATACCTACAGAAAATGGGTGTAGTTAATAAATGCTACTGTTCTAGTAAAATCATCTCATCTCTAGTTTTTCAATAACGCACTTGGTTTGTAATATTTAGAAAACAATTTTGACAGAGATATTCACTCAACAGTATTATTAAATGACTTCTAGATGCCCAGCTCCTGGCATACACAAGATAAATAAGCTATCTATGTCATTTGAAAAGAGCTTGTAGTCCTTAAGAAGATAAATTA
Organism: Homo sapiens; assembly: GCF_000001405.40. NCBI lineage: Eukaryota > Metazoa > Chordata > Mammalia > Primates > Hominidae > Homo > Homo sapiens. The sequence goes on from NC_000005.10 coordinate 22,365,512, forward strand.
TATAGATAAATAAGCACATGATAAATAGGTACTAACACATTTCATAATGTGAGCAAAATGGAATGAAATTCTATGGATGCTTGGAGAAAGTTAACTAGCTAGATTAATTAAATCTCCTTGGAGAAAAGTTTTCTTCTTATAGAAATGAAGCATCACTTTGCTTCCAGAATTAACTGATCTGCAAAAACTCAACAACTCTTTGTAGCTATTGTTTTGAACGACTTCCCTCACCACAAAAAATTCTTCAACATCAGTATCATGCCAGTTAATTTTAATTTGTTGCAGCTAAATGAAAAACAAACAAAAAATATTCTAAACTATTGTATTAATTAGAAAAAAGAACAGAGGCAGAGGAGCATTAACAGTTTATTTTTCATTCAAGAAATATCCAGTGAATATTTTTCAATTGAGTGACATGGAAAAATTATACTCAGTCTATTTATCTTTTTGTTTTGTTTTGTTTTTGAGACTGAGTCTAGCTTTGTCACCTAGGCTGGAGTACAGTGGTGCGATCTTGGCTCACTGCAACCCCTGCCTCTCAGGTTCAAGTGATTCTCCTGCCTCAGCCTCCTGAGTAGCTGGTATTACAGGCGCCCGCCACCATGCCCAGCTAATTTTTGTATTTTTAGTAGAGATGGGTTTTCACTGTGTTGACCAGGCTGGTGTTGAACTCCTGACCTCATGATCCACCTGTCTTGGCTTCCCAAAGTGCTGGGATTAAAAGCGTGAACCATCACACCCACCCTCAGTCTATTTATCTAGAAAATATTTATTCTTTCTTTTTTTTTTAAGTCATGTGAGCTAGTTCCCCAAATAAATCCCCTTTAATATACCTATATATTGCTTTATATATAGATAATATGTATAGAGATAGATAAATATATAAACAGACTGATAGGCAGAAATCCTATTGGTTTCTCTGAAGAACTCTCTTATATAACATCTTTGTCCTTATCTTGATTACGTACTGCCAACTGTGAAAGGTCCTTCTGGAGATAAAGTTTAGAAAAATTTATTCTCCTGGAATTTCACCCATAATGAATTTGTTTTGATTACATTAACCTCTCGTTTTGAGACTTCAGAAAATGAATCAGTTCTGACTTTTGTTCATACTTTTTCATAAGTTGACAGATGCATAGTAGTTTTTGTTACTTTATTGTGGAATGGATGGATGGGAGGATGGATAAATAGTGGAATAAATAAAATTCAACTGAATGTTAATATTGTTGCCATATTACTAGCTTCACAGTTTAGATAGAGTATATTCATTTAATAGCAAACTACTGTTGGAGATTATTTGAGTATAACTGAATGGAGTACTAATCAGCCCTGTACTGAGTATAATCTTGGTTCTAATTTTATCTCTGCCATTTACTGGATGTGTCGCTTTGTGAAAAGTGCTTGACTTTCCTAACCTTCAATTTTGTCTTTAATAAACTGGGAAGAACAAAGTCCATTATATAAGATTGTGGTTTTTAAAAAATTATTTTCTTTTATTCATGTTTCACTTTGTTCAGAAAGTATTTGTGCAAAAAATATGTTAAATAACTACTTCTAGAAAATAATCGAAGGGGAATGATTAAGTTCTTTTGGTTACTTGTATTTTTGTGTTTTTTTTAATTCTCTTTTTAATCTTTAGACAGTTGAAATCTTATTTTATCCTCTGAAAGGCATCTCCTTCTCCTTTCTGCACCACTTTGCTCCAGATACCTAGTGATCTAATGGAACTCATTCTGTCTATGTCCTTCCTTACAGCAATTTGGGATGGACATGAGGAAATTGGAGAGTTAAAGTGTTGGTGGGAAATGGAAACCAGCAACAAAGGTCAAGAAGAGAAGCTGGGTCTTAGTGATGTCTGCATGAGATTTTTACAAATTTGCTGTCTAGAATGTTATATAATCCCATATAATCCCCCATTTGTGTTTCCACAAACATTTTATAAAATATATGTTGTTAGTTGGTTATAGTTTCAGAATTGGATTTGTGTTATTTGGAATAAAATTTACCCTAAGTGCTGAGTCTGATGTCATGACAGATACCTTGTGACAGCAGAGAACACCCAATGACCCTTGGTCATATTTTAGGTTTCAAGTATTTCTGTACTTAATGTACATAAGAAGTTTCCTTATGCTTTCACTTCTTGGCTTATGGTGCATATTTATGCTTTATATTTTTATGTACATATCAGGTAAATATAGAAGCCCATTCCTCTCTAATAGTAGAGATAACACCTTTGTCTATTTTATTACATATTTGAACCCTAATAAATGCTTGCAAGATTCATATTATGACCAAAAAATTCATTAAATTTTGTCATCTCCATCTGCATTTGTGCCTACCATTGCATTCGTATAACAAACCATATCCATAAAAATAAATATTCCTATAAATGTGACAAATTAACACATTTTTTTCCTGAAAATAAATAAACTATATACATTGAGGTCAACCTTTTACTTATTTATGCATTATCACCAGAAATACGAAGTAAATTCTAATCAAGTATTTATACCACTACTACATGAATAAAATTTGAAATGTAACTTCTGCAGTCTTCTATATCTATAGACATATGTTAAGGCAAATTGTTTTAGATATGTGAAATTTAAACTAAATATATATTCATTATTAATCAGCAGTTATTATTTAAACATTTGAGCCGAAACTTCATATATTTAAATTTAATTTTTTTCAGCTATTTATATAATTTGCAGAGCTGAAGTTCTAAAATAGCTCTTTGAGATATTTTTATTAATTTGTATTAATATTTTTATTGATTTTAATTAATTTTATGTTATTGTTTTTAAAACAGGGTCTTGCTCTGTTGTCCAGACTGGAGTGCAGTGATACAATCGAAGCTCACTGCAGCCTCAACCTACCAGGCTCATGTGATCCTCTCAAGTCAGTCTCCCAAGTTGCTGGGACTACAAGGAGTCTACCACCAAGTCTGGCTAATTTTTTTTTTTTTTTTTTGCAGAGACAGGGTTTCACCATGTTTCTCAGGCTGGTTTCAAACTCCTGGGCTCAAGAGATGCTCCTGCCTCAGTGTAGTGTATGGATATTTAAGTAATAACCGCTGGTTAATAATAAATATGTATTTAGTTTTAATTTCACAATTCTAAAACAATTTGCCTTAACATATATCTATAGTAATAGAAGCCTGAAGAAGTAACATTTCACTTTTTTATTCATTTAGTATTGACATAAATGCTTGATGATTATAATCTACCTTCATATTTCTAGTGACAATGCACAAATAAGTAAGAGGTTGACCTCAAAAGTGCCGGGTCTTAGGGTGTGAGCTACCATGCTCAACCTTTATTCCTTTTTAAAAACATCTTTCGGGTCAGGCGTGGTGGCTCACGCCTGCACTTTGGGAGGCCGAGGTGGGCAGATCACTTGAGGTCAGGAGTTCAAGACCAGCCTGGCCAACATGGTGAAACCCCGTCTCTACTAAAAATACAAAAATTAGCTAGGTGTATTGGTGCGCACCTGTAATCTCAGCTACTCGGGAGGCTGAGGCAGGAGAATCGCTTGAACCCGGGAGGCGGAGGTTGCAATGAGCTGAGAATGCACCACTGCACTCCAGCCTGGGCCACAGAGCAAGACTATCTCAAAATAAATAAATAAATGAATGAATAAAAAATAAAATAAAATAAAAACATCTTTTGAAATTTGATGTCCCTTACACCTGTGTTAACAAATGTTTAAAGGCAAAACAATGTATTTTGCTTCATACGCTAAAAGCTGAAGACAAGGAAACATTTTTGCTTAACTTTTTAAAGAAATATTAAAATTTTTTAATATGTAAACAGGATTTAATGGAAAAATACTTTCTAATAACTCAGAAAAAAAATAGACTTTCTTTAAAGACACTATAAACACATTTTTCCACCATTTTTTTCCTAGAAAACAGGCATAAAAGTGTCACCCAAAAGAGACCACCATATTTAATTCCCTGAACAACAAGGTTCTTAAAAAAATACATACAAAGAGAAAAAAATCAATTCATGCCTTTAAGATTTCACATTTTAAAGAAGCAGCTTTATTTGACTTCTTAAATGCATTTTAAAGTTTATGTCATCAATTCTGCTACACAAAGTGAGAGCATCAATACCTTTGAAGGACTGAGGAGATGCCACCATTTTACTCTAATCTCAGAGTGCTAATGGTATCTTTTAAGCTCTTCGAACACACAAAATCTCAAGCAATTTGCTAAATTTGAAGAGTAAAATTTACAGGCAAATAAGAATAATTAGGCTGAATATTTTGTCCCTGTGTGCTATTTTTAAACACTCAAAATCATTCATAGTGACTGTCAGAATATGTGAAAACCCTGTCTTTTAGAAAGAAAAATAGTGAATAAATTAACTGAAAATTTGTGATCAATCACATTTTTCCTTAAAACATGGTGTCAGTTTCCATAGCCACAGACACAATAACAGAAAAATCACCTCAAAAATTATTTAGGCAATATACATGTTTTATGTACTTAAAAAAAATTCTCAAGTATATTGTTCCTGGATTGATTAATTCAATGATTCTATCATGTCATCAGAAGCTTTTCTTTTCCCTTTGTCAGCCTCAATATTTTATCTTTGGTCACTCAAATAGCAACATTAAGAGCTGAATAAAGTGTGCTTATATATTGCACATATTCAAGAGAAATTATTTTTAGAGATCCCTCCACTCCTGGAAGATCATATTTCCTTTTTTGCATTGAAAAGTGTGTCTTGCTTTAACATATTCCCACTTATCAACCAATCACTGTCAAGAAAAGTAGATCATTAAAATTGGCTTAGGCTATTTAACTTTCACTCCCAAGTTGCTTGGACTCTGATAACTGTAAGCAAAGAAGAAAGGTGCTCAATGGAGTAATGCCTACTGAGTAGACAAACAATGGCATCTGTCAATTAAATAAATTCGTGAGTAATTTTTTGTGTGAATAAATTATTTAAATCATGTATATATTCCTTGAAAATAATTTATAACACATAGGTGCCTTTTAGAAACGTATTTTATAGAACCCTCCATTATATTCCTTGAACTATTTTGCTAACATCTTTGAGTATTTTCCTAACAGAAAAATACTTTATATTCATAAATTTAAAAACTCAAAATTGTAGCACTTATTATATGCCTAGACATGTGTTAGTCAAGATTACAGAATCAAAGGAGAGATGAAATAGGACCAAGTTCAGTAGGAAACCTTGGTATGCTTGAGAAAACCGATTAAAAACATAAAATAACCATAAACCAGTAGGTCATACGTATGGGAATAACTGGACCAGGAGCTAGATAACCTGACCTGTTCTGCCTTCAACAGCAAAAAAATCATCTGGAAAGAAAATGACTGGAAAAATTCTAGGCGTAGATGCAACAATTAACAAGCACTCTCAAGATTAACTAAGAACTGTCTCTTGCTGAGAAGCAGTAGGAGCAAAAAACAAACAAATCAATTACTTTTTGTTTGGAAGCTATAGTAAAGGATCTTGAGAAGAGAGGTATAAAAAGAATAGCAGTCTGTAATATACTAATTGGCAAATAAATGGAGGTCAAACTTGGGGATATACATCAGAGTATAATTAATAATAAGGAAGAAAAATATTTGCAGGTTGACATTTTCCCTAAAAGCTTAATTTTAATTTCTGGAAAATTTAGTAACTGTAATTTGTCTAGGTGCCACTTTAAGAACAGAATTCAAATATTTGATGAACTATTGAACTCAGACATGTTATGAAAATAGTTCTGATTTAAAGTACAAAGATTGTCAAATAAATGTACACACACATTTTATATGCTTCTACATATAAGTATTAAAAGCTAAAGCAAAGAAAAATTACATTAATCTTAACACATTTCTGTAATAGTACAGTTGAATCATAATTTAAATACACAAAGTGAAAAAGAAAGAATTCTATTTTTAAATTTGAAAATAAGGCCATCTTACTTCTCTGTAAGTAGAGTGATACAGTTTGAGATGTTATTTTCCAAAAAGAAACTGAGTTTACATTGGATCCTCCAAGTATTCCTATCTTTTATATTATTATTTTTTAACCAACCACTCTTATATATAGTTAACTTGTCTAAGGCTTTGAACAGGGCTTTTTATTAGTATGTTAGTTAATCTTAAGCATTAGTCTGTTTTAATAAGCATCTTGTATTATGTGAATTAACTAGCTTTTAAAATCAATTAAGTATATAGTACATATGTAGAATATTATGTACCAAGCACCTATTGCAAGACAAATCAAGGTACCCTCAAAGGATTGAAAGAAAGAAAGATTTTGGCTAGAGCATGGAAAATGAAGGAAGATTTTAGAAAAATTGAGATTAAGAACATAGATAGAAGCCAGTCCATGAAAGAACCTTGTGGGAGATGATAAGGCTTTTGTCCTTTATTCTCAAAGGTTTGGAAAACCTTTGGGAGATTTTAAGTTAGGCCAAAACATGATGATATTTTTATTCTTAACACAAAGTTTGGATTCAGTTTGAAGAATGAAATGTGGACAAATTTAGAACTAGTTAAGACAAGAGGCTAATACACGTCACTGGTCCAGGTCACTGAACTAATAATGCTAGCTTAGTTCAGAGTGGCTGGTGTACTGATGAAGAAAATGCTAACCAGTTAAGATTTCTAGAGGAGGGAAATCCAACAAGGCTGACCAGAAGCAGCCAGTGTATGCCTCTTGCTTGGAGAGGAACTGAAATAGCAAGTAGATATTGACACATTGGATAGATCATCTAAGAGAGAGAGCACTGGGACTCAACAGAGAAGGGAAGGGAAGCACTGAAAGCAAAGGAGAGGGAACCAGGCAGCCTGCTTGGCAGCTGGGAGAAGCTCCTGGAGGCCAGGAAAGGGTAAGTGAGGGACCCCCGTGCTCCACATTCCTGCACAGACTTCCACAAACCTAATCACAGGAAACTCCCTTAATCCTCATGGGCCTCAAGACAGAGAACTGCCTACAGATTGTGCAGAGGTGTTTGTTGTTCCAGAGGGGACACTCATGCTGAGTCACCAGGCTTCCAAGCCCTGAGCAGCTGCGACATGCAAGGGAGTTGAGCCCCCGAAGGACTGCCAAGGAGAAAGAGTGGAGGCTGGGTACTTTCACACATCTCGAAAACAAACCTCACTGCCAATGATGCTTCGGGCTGTTGTGGCACCCAGACACAGAGAAACTGTAAGCCCGTAGCTGCCTTCCCACACTTCTCCCACTAAGACATGCCCCGTCCTTCCAGGTGGTGGGCCCACGGCTGGCACCAATCTGAAAACAGATCCCCAAAGGACTTTGTGCCCTGAAACTGATACTTCTGCTGCTGCAGGAGTAAGAGGAGAGGCCAGAAACTTCCACATGCTCCAAGGACAAATGCCACTTCCACTTCCATGGGCTGCTGTGGGATGGAGGCACCAGAAAACCACCAGCTCCACAGCTGCCCCAGTAAGCTACTCCTACTGCAAGCAGCCCTGCCATCCCTGGAGGCAGATCCCTAGGGCAGCCACCACTGCCCCCACCTAAGCTTTCTTCAGGAGGCCTGGGGAATACTCTGCCCCTATCATAGTGAGCACCTGAATGCACCATAACAAGGGCACCTGAGGACAAGCCCACCAGCCAAGTCCCATTCCCCCAGGATTTGAGCATGCCATCAAGGGGCCTGGATATCCTCCAGCCCAGTCCACCTCTGCTGGCCCCAAGCCCTCCTCCCAGAGTCTGAGATCAGGACAAAGTAACCTGCTGATCCAACAGTTGGCACCCCCTGGCATGAGCCACCTGTGTGGACTGACCTGCCCAGCCCATTGCAGCCACCACTAGTGCCAGCATGAACCACTTGGGTTCCAGTGGGTTGCCCCCACAACTGCTAATAATATCACCCACATCACACCATGGCCAAGGGGACTGAGAAACCTCTCACATGCCCAGCTCACTGCTGCCACTACCAGCATCCAAGCAAGCCATCTGGAGGCCCGAGAATTGGCTCACCTAAACCTGTTAACACAAAGCCAGCATACAGTGTTCTGGGGCTCAAGGACAGGCATGCTCAGAACACTGCTACCACCACTGGTGCCAAAGACTGGCCTACATGACATTCTATTCCCCAGCAAAACTTCACCACAGTCTCCACTCATAAATGCTCCCTGAGCAAGCAAGGAAATAACAGATACAACTGATGCTGTTTACCGCCAAAGAAATCATGTAGAGACCACACTCCTGCATGTACCCAAAGTTAAAGCCAAAGTGCCCTACCAACCAACAACATATATACATCTTTAGGAAAACAATCCTTCCCTATGAAAGCAAATTCAAAAGGTTGGAAGAAGTGACTATTACAACAGATGTGCAGACATCAATGTAAGGTCACAGGAAACATGAAAAAATCAAGGAAATATGACATCTCTTCAGGAACACTGTAATGCTCCAATAACAGATTCAAACAAAAAATGTTCACAAAATCCTGAATAAATAATTCAAAATAGTAAGCCAAATAAGGATACAGCAACAAAGAAAACTACCGGCCCATATCTCTGATGAACACAGATGCAAAAATCCTCAACAAAATACTAGCAAACTGAATCCAACAGCACATCAAAAAGATAATATGCCATGACAAAGTAGGAATTATACTAGGAATGCCAAAATGGTTCACAATATACAAATCAATAAATGTGATACTTCACATTAACAGAACAAAGGGCAAAAACCGTATGATCACCTCAATAGATCTAGAAAAAAATGGAAAAAAAATCAATATCCCTTCATGATAAAAACTCTCAACAAAATAGAAGTAGAAGAAACATACCTCAAAATAATAAAGACTGGCCATAACAAACACACAGCTATAATTACATTGAATGGGGAAAAGCTGAAAGCCTTTCTTTTAAGCTCTGGAACAAGATAAAGTTGTCCACTTTTACCATTCCTATTCAATATGTACTGGAAATCCTAGCCACAGCAATCAGGCAATAGAAAGATATAAAAGTCATCCAAATTGGAAAAGAAGAAGTTGAATTATTCATCCTTGCTGGTGATATAATCTTACATCTAGAAAAACCTAAAAACTCTACCACAAAACCCCTAGTTTTGATAAAGAAATTCAGTAAAGTTGCAGTGTACAAAATCAACATAAAAAATCATAAGCATTTCTATACTTCAATAATGAACTACCTGGGAAAGAAATCAAGAAGGCAATATCATTAACAATAACTATAAAAAATTAAAATAGCTAGGAATAAATTTAACAAAGGGAGTGAAAGATTTCTACAAGGAAAACTACAAAACACTAATGCAAAAAATTGAAGAGAAAACAAACATGGAAAGACATTGCATGCTCATGAATTGAAAAAAAAATAGTATTGTTAAAATGATAATCCTGCTCAAAGCAATCTACAGATTCCATGCAATCTCTATCAAATTATCAACATCATTTTTCACAGAATTAAAAAAAATCCTAAAATTTGTATAAAACTACAAAAGACACCAAATAGTCAAAGCAATACTGAGCAAAATATATGAAGCTATAGGCATCACACTACCTGACAAAATATATTATAAAGCTATAATAATCAAAACAGCTTCACATTGGTATAAAAACAGAATGTAGACTAATGGAACAGAATAAAGAGTCCAGAAATAGATCCAAGTATTTACGTCCAACTGATTTTTGACAAATATGCCAAGAACAATTCTGAGGACAGGAAATCCTCTTCAATAAATGGTATTGGGAATTACCCATAAGCAGAAGAATGAAAATGGACTCCTATCTCTCCCCATACATAAAATTCAATTCAATATATATTGAAGACTTACACATAAGAACTGAAACTATAAAATTATTAGAAAAAGAAATACAAGAAAAATACTTCAAGACATCAGTCTAGATAAATATTTTATGACTAAGACCTCAAAAGCACAGACAACTAACTGTAACACAAATAGACATATGGAACTATAAGAAACCAAAAAGCTTCTACACAGCAGAGAGAAACAGAATGAAGAGACAACCTGTTAAAAGGGAGGAAATATTTGCAAACTATTCATCTGACAAAGGACTAATATCCAGAATACATGAGGAACTCAAACAATTCAGCAATAAAACAGACACAAATAATTCAAAAGTGGGCAAAGAGCATAAATAGACATTTCTTAAAAGAAGACATACAAATGGCTGATAAGTATTTGAAAAATGGTTCGACATCATTAATAATCAGGGAAATGCGACTCAAAACCAAAATGATGTATCATTTTACACCAGTAAGAATGGCTATTATTGAAAAGACAAAAAACAAACAAACAAACAGAAAAAAAAACAGATGCTAACGAGGCTGGGGAGAAAAGGGAACTCATACACTTAGTGGAATGTAAATTACTACAGCCACTATGGAAAACAGTATGGAGATTTCTCAAAAAACTAAAAATAAAACTACTGTTTGATCCAGCAATCCTACTACTAGGTTTTTATCCAAGGGAAATTAAATCTGTATACCAAGGGGACACCTGCACTTGCATGTTTATTGTGGCATTATTCACCATTGCAAAAAAACAGAATCAAACTAAATGGATGAATGGATAAAGAACATGTGGTTCATACACACAATGGAATACTATTCTGCCATAAAAATGAATAAAATCATGTCATTCGCAGCAGCATGGATGGAACCAGAGGTCATTATGTTAAGTGAGAAAAGCTAGGCACAGAAAGAGAGACACCACATGTTGTCACTCACATGTGGGAGTCACAAACAATCTCATGGAGACGGAGAATAGAAAGATAGATGCAAGATGCTGTGAAGGGTTTGTGTCTGGGAGGGAGGATAAAGAGAGACTGATTATTGGGTGCAAACATACACTTAAATACAAAAAAAAAGCCCAATATTCCATAGCAGAGTAGAGTGACTGTATTTTTCAACAATGTAATGTATATTTCAAAGTAGCTAGAAGAGAGGACTTGAAATGTTTCTAACACAAAGAAATGACATATTCTCATTGTGATGATACATTACATACCCTGACTTGATCATTACACATTCCATTGTAATTTTTTTGAGACAGGGTCTCACTCTGTCATCCAGGCTGGAGTGCAGTAGCTAATGCCTCAACCTCCTAGGCTCAAACCGTCCTCCCACCTCAGCCTTATGAATAGCTGGGACTACAGGCATGTGCCACTATGGTTGACTAATTTTTTTTTTTTTTTTTTTTTTAGAGATGAGCTCTCATTATATTGCCCAGGCCAGTCTCAAAATCCTGGGCTCAAGTGATCCTGCCACCTCAGCCTCCCAAAGTTCTGGGATTACAGACGTGAGCCGCTGTACCTAGTCACATTCTATTATTGTAACAAATACATGTACCCCATAAGTATGTAAAATAGTTTCTACCAATAATAAATAAGTAAATGAAAAAGTAAATAAATATAAATAGTTCTGTTTAGCAGGTAAACAGAAATTCAAATTTGATTTGGCTGAATTATTAAAGACAGGGTATTAGTTTATAAATTACCACCAGAGGCATCATGGGACCTTACTGAAGGCAACAAGCAGATCTCAAGGTACAACTTCCTAAATTTTTCCTACTGGCTGTCTCCATGCTGAATCATAGATAGGTGTATGATGTGCCCCCAGAGTGAACACGTGGGTTTCCATTTTGGCTCATACAGCAACCAATAATACCAATGACAGATTCTTCAGATTCTTTTAATCCTACAGTTCTTCCATCCACAATTGTATATGCAAAATAAACTGGCTTCTCTTGTGTAGAAAAACTTACATATTACAGTGTACGTATTGGTTCAAGAAAATAGAATAGCCATTGACAGCAACAGAGTTTATAAAAGTTTGGTAGAGTCACTAGCTCAACAAGGTCGCCAATGACGCAGGTTCTCCATACCCTGTCATGAACAGTGCCAGCTTTACTCTAAAATGAGCCTTCCTGGTGGAATAGGATGGCTTCCAGCACAGTGAGGGCCAAGTGTGTCCTCATTTGCATCCGGCTTGAGAGAGAGCAAGGCGACAACCATACACAAGTTGTCATGAGCCTGACTCTTATTGAACCTGTTGAACTAAGTGTTTCAAAACTGTATAGCAAAGATCTGCAACTCCCCTCTCTCTGACATTCCTTCCTGGGCATCTGGATTCCAATAGTTTATTCCTTTAAACACCTCACTTTCTATGCCAGATTTCCAGTTTAATTCTGTCAGTTTTTGCTAACACTTACTAAAGAAATGTTTTATCTCTCATTTGACAAACAACACATGTATCATATCTTTTTAAAGCTGGAGAGAGAAGGGCTGAATGGTACCCTAAATTCCTAACAGTAAAAACTCACTGATGCATCATTTAATTTAGTGGGCAAGGTAATGACAAAGGTGATTTAATGCGTTTGGAAATTCATACTATGCTACATTGCTAATATACTAAAATGTAACAGAAATTTTGTGAAAGTTAATTTATAAAGCTAATATTATTTCACTCACTAATGGAGAAATATTGTTTTCAGGTTATAACTTTTTTAAGGCTAGAATAACTGATTATGAATAATAACGTGTTTTTTTCCTCTTACTACTTATAGTGCAATAACATTATTTAATTTTACATGTTAATATCTTTGGTCTTTGGTCCTGAACCCAAACATACCAGAATGGACTTATAATAGGTACAGGTAAATCCACTGTGTACAAATACAGAATCAGTTGCTATTCCAGAAGTTACTGAAATTCAAGACAAAATGTGTTAATGTATTAGAATGCAATAAACTGAAGGACTTTTTCCTCATTCTTAAAACTCATATTTTTCTTCTGATAAATATAGATCACATATATTACTACAGGCTGCCAAAAACTATTTCATTGTAAATATTTATGCAGTTTTTTTTGGTTTGGTTAATGATGAATGGCTTGAAATGCTACCATTAACTGAAGAAGCAGTGTCATAACTCAAGCATAGTGGACGTATATAACAAAAGTAGTTGTGATAAGTAAAATCATATAGTTTGTAGAGTTGGATGAAATATAAACTTTTGGTTCAGATGAATATAAAAGAGTATGAATTAGGGTGTAAATCTCCAAAAATGACCACTAATAAAACTTCTAAAAACTAAGAGAACATCATTTCACCAATGTTTATACTTGAACATTTATTGCATGCATTTTGGTATTTAATTCTATTGAGTTGTGTCTCTTTATATGAGCCAATAATCTTTTCTAAATTTAAAAATAAAATCAATAGAAACATAATTTTGAAAATTGTGTTATGCTTTTTGAGAATTATACAATATTTGATACAAAATTACTTGTATTGGGTTTCTACTTCAAGCTAAGAAAATTGTCTTTAGAAATTGCATTTATTTTCCTAGGTCATAAAGTATAATGCCTTATATATGCCTATGGCTTGATGAATAATTTCTGCTTAAAGTAATTTGAAAAGCTAGTGAAATACAATGCAGTGAATGTTGTATTCCATCCAATAGAGTCAACTATTGTTTCATAGGTTTGCCTGTTTTTAATATTATACTGGAACTAAAACAACTACTTAACATTATAATAGAAAATACTATATAGTAACTGAGAAACACAAATAGTTGTCCCGATACTAGCAAAAAATAAGTTATGGAGAGTTGCAGAATTGTAGTAAGAAACTTAATACAGTCCTGGGAAAATATATAAACTACTTTTCTGCATTTTAAGAAACAAAACTGCCAAGATGTTGCAAGATATAAATGGTGGAAAGAGATCATGTTCTAGAACGAATAGTTTTGTGGTAAAATTAAAGTTCAGTTACTCTGTGTACTGGGAAGAAAGGAAAGTATGATATGGTCAGTAGATGGGGAAATGGCACGCTTTCTATTTATTTATATTAATACCTAGAAAACAAATGATAGTGTCCAAAATTTCCACATCACAAGTACTTAAGTTCCTCTGGATCACCCAAGTCACGTTCCAAGTTACGTATTGGACAAGAAATAAGCAGGTTGTTCACACGATTAAATGACTCATTAACTTGGGATAATATAAAATAATGATATCTGTGAAATAAGAGAAAGATTACTAAAGCCAATGTTAACCAACCTGTGCTTAAGGTGCTAGGTCTTTGATTTATCTCCTGTGCAATTCTAATTCTTCTGGTCCTAATTTATTTCCTTAACAATGAATTAGGGATAATAAAACCCTCCCAGAGATGACTGTGAGAGTCTACTGGCCAAATATGTTTGAAAGGTATAGTAAATTATGAAGCTTCACTGCAACTTTTTATTTATCTATTTATTTGTTTATTTATTTGAGATTGAGTCTCTTTCTGTTGCTTTGGCCAGAGTGCAAAGGTTTCATCAGTTCACTGCAGCCTCAAACTGCTGGGCTCACATGATCCTTCTGCCTCAGCCTTCCAAGTAATTAGAATTACTGGCATGCTCCATCATGCCCAGCCAATTTTTTATTTTTTATTTTTGTAGAGACAAGGTCTCTCTATTTTACCTAGGCTGGTTTCAAACCCCTGGTTTCAAGCAATCCTCCTGCCTTGGCCTCCCAAAGTACTAGCATTACAGGCATGAACCACCATGGCTGGTCCTCTCAAACATTAAAAATGTGAATTTAACTCTAATTTCAATGCTAAGGCAATATTGGAAGGTAGTTTAGGCGTATTCTGAACAAAGAAAAAGAAAGGAGGGTAAACTTGTAGAGGGTCTGAGATATAGAAGACTTTTGAGTTAATAGACTTCAAAAGTGGCAAAATCATTACCCTTAAGCTACATTTAAAAAATTAATCAACCTCCACTGGGGACTTTTCAGCATATTTCATACTAATTATTTCTTCTGAAAGCCTTCACATAGGCAAATTTCTTTGTCCCTTTTAAATTATTTATTCTCAAAGGTTCTTTTGTTATAACTCTCTCTGAGAGAAATTCCTCCAAAGAATGGAGTCAACACAAAATGCCTTTTTTAACATATGTGTAATAGGATTTTATCTAATATAGAATTAGATACTATTTTCAACATATACTTGTCACAGTATTTTATGCTTATCATTTTATGTAATATAACAAATACAAAAAAAAAACTACTATGTACTTTCATAATAGAATTAATTATTTTGAGTAGGCATATATGTTAAAAACTACACGCATTTTCTTAAAACTAAGTTTATTACAATTACTAAATCTGTGTCTATTTTTACAATATGTGAATAATGATGTAGCTGCATCATGTTAAATTAGTCATCTCATACCATTTTAGCAATTCCTGTAATTGTTCTGTGATTTTGAAAATGTTTTAATAAGAATGCACACATAACATAAAGCTCATTTTTATGTAAACAGGGTAATTAATACAGAAATCTCAAACTCTCTTTACTGTCAAGATCAATATGCTTATAACATAAAAATCCTGGCTTACTGCCTTGAACAACTTAGAAAACATTAGGCAATTGGCTTTCAGCACAATAAATATATGTATACACCATGTAGATGAGATTCAAGAAATATTATACTGTATAAGAAGTGCTGGAGGATATGACACTGAGTTGCCTATTTTTTTCTCTCTGTGATAATAAAGAAAACAAATTACGACAATGTTTGAATTAAAAAAGGCAATTAATCTTAGTATAAGAGAATAAAAATTCTTGTAGTTGATCACAATTGCAATCTATTCTATCTTTCTCTTGGGGAAACATGTCATTTTTATATATGCTCATCAAACTTTAATTGGAATAAAAGTGTACTTATTGACTCTCCTCCCTCAGAATATTTGAAAATATTATACACATCTCCAAATACAAAGCTGTAATTAGTTAAAAATTATGCCTTTGATCTGTAAACGTTTCACTTTCAAAATCTCAAAAGTGTCAATATTACTATATTTAGAAAATATTTTTAAAATCATGTAAATAGGTAGTGTTTGTTAATGAAACAAATATAAGTTTACATTTCATTTTATTCTATTTCAATCTTCGGGTTGGTCATTTAATGGCCTTTTCCAATACGAACATTTTTGTTTTTCTGGGACATTTTATTTATTTATTTTTCTTTAATGCTTTATTCCTATGCGATTTCTCCATTTTCTATTATTGAGTCTCTTACTATTCAGATGGTGGGTGTCCTGAATAATTGTCCACCTATTTTCTTTCTGAGTAAAGTTTGGTCAAAATTTTAACAAAACCTCTTCCTGTGGAGACTATAATACTCTATATCATGGTTCTTAGTTTTGGATGCATAATGAATTTAGGGAACTCAACTTTCAGTGTGTAAATTTTTACTTTATTCTCTTGCTTTTATTTTGAAAACTTATCCTTAAATATATCTGGTTTTCTCTACTAACAGACACCAAAGGAAGTTCGGGAAAAAAAAACGAAACTGCCGTCTTAAGTCTAGATTAGGGAGGGACATTCATATGAAAGCATGAAGTCAAGAGGAAAATCAGGAAATTTAATGGAAATATATATATATATTTCTATAGAGAGAGAAGTTCCTTATAATATATAACAATATTCAAATTTATATAAGTTTTGAGATTGAGTCCCTTTATGTTGCTTTGGCCGGAGTTCAGGGGTTTCATCATTTCACTGCAGTCTCAATATTATAATACATAATATAATAGAAATATGATATAAAATAATATATATTTATAATATATCACATATATTATAAACATGTTTATATATTTATAATATATACTATTTTATTATATATTTATAATATATATTATTTTATTAGATATTTATATATTTAAAATATATAATATTTTATATATTATAAAATATGTAATATTTTTATAGAATACATATTATATATAGTCTATATATAGAAATATATATTTCTATATGTCTACATACATATAGAAAAATATATACATATATTTCTCTTGCTATATATATAGACTTTCCTTATAAGCCCACTGTCACTTCCCTACCAGAGGCACCCAGTGTCACAAGTCCCTGACTGTTACCGGGCCCTGTAGAGATGCACCATGAGTGTTGCATCATGAGGCTTCCTAGCTTTCTTCCTGCCATTTCAAGACTTAGATTTCTCAGGGCCACTGGTTATGTAATACTTGGCGTATTCGCTTTTCATCTTCAAGATTTTATTAATGATGTCTCCTCTACGAATTACTTGCTAGCTGGGTTGATAACATTAATAAAACACTTTATTGGTTTCTTAGGAGGCAGTGAAGGCCAGTATGTGCATATACAACCTGCCATCTTTAACCGGAAGCATCCCTTTATTTGTAAATGTAGTAAAAACGGAATTTAGTATTAATTTTATATTTCTAAAAAGAAAAGGATTACTTCTAAGTGTTGAGACTGAATCGACCTTGGACTAAATTTCATGTTATCATTATTATTATTATTATTATTATTTTTTGAGACGGAGTTTCACTCTTGTTACCCAGGCTGTAGTGCAATGGCGCAATCTCAGCTCACTGCAACCTCTGCCTCCCGGGTTCAAACAATTCTCCTGCCTCAGCCTTCTGAGTAGCTGGGATTTCTGGAGCGCGCCGCTACGCCCAGCACATTTTTTGTGTTTTTAGTAAAGACGGGATTTCACTATGTTGGCCAGGCTGGTCTTAAACTCCCGACCTCAGGTGATCCACCCTCCTCGGCCTCGCAAAGGCTGGGATTACAGGCGTGAGCCACTGCGCCCAGTCTCGTATTCAAATTTCATAACTAAATCAATCTAATTGCAAATGGTGTGTTGGCACTTCTGAGATGAAAATGAATAAGAGAGTTCCTCTCAGAGGACCAGCATTATAATTGAGGATATTTAATAACTACTATAAAGTGACTAGGATATTAGGAAGAATTAGGGAAATATCATTAGAAATGAGCACACGTAAGTCCAATGGGCTACATAGAATAAGATATACACACAAAAATCCAAAATGACTTAGAAAAGTGTCAATCAAGGTGAATTTTGTGAATGTTAGTTCATTTATTGTGGTTAATAAACATGGGGAAGGTCCTATTGCAGATGTCATTTTTGAGAGAACATAAGCAAAGGCATTGGCAAGACAGCATGTGTGGGTTTCAGGTCACTGAGAAGGTTCCTTTGGTTGAAGTATAGAACACACTTGGAGAAAAGGAAAAACGTTGCTGGTAGAAATTCTCATTTTGGGAGTTCCTTTCTTACTGGGCATTGCTGGTCTCATATATTGTGCTTAGACAATTAAACCTTCTAGGCCAAAATAATCTCCCAATTCATGTGTATATTTCTCTAACTGGCATAAATCAACCAAACAAAACATAAAATTCCACTAGTTACTTTGGGGAACTTTTCACGTGAACATGATTGTTCATCTAAGATGCTAATTATAACCATAGCAGAAATCATTCACATTTGGAGATCTCTCCCGCTCTCCCCCATTTCTCCCTCCCTTCTCTGGGAGGACTGTGTAATGTATACAATCTCCCTCTTTTGGTAACTTATTTCAGGGATGAATATCCAATGGAGTTTTAATCATATAATTAGATGGAATTGCCATGGGTCTGAGTTATTGTTATACTAGATGTAATATCTCCATTGTGGGTGTTAAATGGGTTTTGCTAGATTTAAGCTTTCTCTCAAACCTGGAATGTAAAGAAAATTAGACTTTTATGATAACTATTTTATATCTGTCTGCAGATAGCTTTCTCAATTATTTTATTATTTTTCTCATTTTTCTCTTCTAAGGAAACTTTGCTCTGTTACTATATGCATACTGTAGTGCATCTATCTAGCCTAGATAAATATTAAAAAATGTCCATAAGAAAAGAAAATGTTGGCCGGGCGCGGTGGCTCACGCTTGTAATCCCAGCACTTTGGGAGGCCGAGGCGGGCGGATCACGAGGTCAGGAGATTGAGACCATCCTGGCTAACACGGTGAAACCCCGTCTCTACTAAAAATACAAAAAAAATTAGCCGGGCGTGATGGTGGGCGCCTGTAGTCCCAGCTACTCGGGAGGCTGAGGCAGGAGAATGGCGTGAACCCGGGAGGCGGAGCTTGCAGTGAGCCGAGATTGCACCACTGCACTCCCGCCTGGGCCACAGAGCGAAACTCCGTCTCAAAAAAAAAAAAAAAGAAAAAGAAAAAGAAAAGAAAATGTCTTTTTTATCCATTACCAAAACTAATTCAGAAAAAAAGGTTTCAAGGTTGCTTGGCAATGGCTTATGTTCCTCAGTAACAACAGCTAGACTATTAGAGATCTTGGCATGAATTCACAAGTTTTTAAGGCATTTGATGTATTAGTATAGATGTGTATGTATGTTAAAATGAGTTCATGCAATAGTCTTGATTAATATGCAACTTTTTGAACAAATTAGAGCGACTAAATTTTAACTTAAAAACAACTTTTTTCTTTCTTAGCACAATAAAAATAATAGTGCAGTCTTTCAGTTAATACAAGCCTTGGGTCCGATTTCTAATGATTTTAATATTTTAAATTCCCTACATTTGTTCTCTAGGGTCCATGTGTTGTCATTGTTTCTACAAATTGTTTATGATTTGTTACAAAATAAAAATTATGTTAAACTAAATAAAATTTTAATCACAAATGACTTATATTAATGAATGTCTTTTAGTAGAGTGAACTCTTATGAATCCTTGGAATGCTGCAAATCATAAAAATTAAATGTATTGGGTTAAGTGGTTACCTTAACATCTTCAGTCAAATTTAATACCTTAAACTTATATTAAACTGTGATTCTTTAGATACTTGGATCATTTCCCAGTAAGAAAAATATATAGATATTGGCTACAAATATGATTTTAAATGCCTTTTTTTATTTCTACATACAGATTGGTTA
Source organism: Homo sapiens (assembly GCF_000001405.40). Taxonomy (NCBI): domain Eukaryota; kingdom Metazoa; phylum Chordata; class Mammalia; order Primates; family Hominidae; genus Homo; species Homo sapiens. The sequence goes on from NC_000005.10 coordinate 22,385,266, forward strand.
AAGCTTAATATACTGTGCAGACACAGATCTTTCTAAATAGTTATCCATATGATTTTCTTCATTTTTCCATCTTTGACCAACATGGATTCAATGTTCCCCTAAGCTTGATTAATAAGATAGGCTGCTTTCTAACTCCAGATTTTTGACCTCCCTTTTCTTAAAGTATGTACCTTTCGGAAAACTTCCTAGAAAACTTCCAATTGTATAATCTTTCTCTGCTTTTTTGAGATGTAAATATTTTCACAACCTCAACATTTGACAATCCATACACGTTTTTCTCAAAGATCAGGAGTCATTCCTTTGAAATGTAATCATTAAAAGAAATGAGGACCTTATCTTTCTGCCTCTATAAGACAGTAGGAGCCTAGCATCCATAGCACCAGTTAACAAACCCAGACGGCCTGTATTTTTAGTCTGTTCTTGCACTGCTATAAAGAACTACCTGAGACTGGGTAATTTATAAATAAAAGATGTTTAATTGGCTCATAATTCCACAGGCTGTACAAGAAGCATGACTGGGGAGGCCTCAGGAAACTTTCAATCATGGCAGAAGGGGAAGCAGGCACATCTTACATGGCCAGAGCAGGAGAAAGGGAGAGAAGGTGGAATGGCTACGCGCTTTTTTTTTTTTTTTTTTTTTTTTGAGACTGAGTTTCACTTTTGTTGCCCAGGCTGAATTAGCAATGGCACAATCTCGGCTGACCACAACCTCTGCCTCCCAGTTTCAAGCAATTGTCCTGCCTCAGCCTCCTGAGTAGCTGGGATTACAGGCATGTGGCACCATGCTTGGCTAATTTTGTATTTTTAGTAGAGATGAGGTTTCACCATGTTGGTGAGACTGGTCTCAAACTCCCGACCTCAGGTGACCTGCCTGCCTTGGTCTCAAAAAGTGTTAAGATTACAGGCGTGAGCCACTGCGCCCGGCCGGCTATACACTTTTAAACAACCAGATCTTGTGAGACCTCACATGGCAAGAACAGCAAGGGATAAATCCATCCCCATGATCCAGTCATCTCCCACTAGGCCTCTCCTCTAACAGTGGGGATTACAATTCGACATGAGATTTGGTCAGAGACACAAATCCAAGCCATACCATTGCCTAATAACATTAACCAAATTCTCCCCTAACTTCTTTCAGCACTTTTCTACTAAGACATCCTGGTGCTTAAAACCTCTCTCACATTTTATTTTAGTGCAGTTCATTCCAATCAACCTCCTTATTTCAATAGTCTTGAATAAAGTCTTTCTTGCCTGTTTAATTCCATCTAGAACAATTTTACATTGACATTTTCTAAAAAATGACATAAAATATATGCCCATAAAAAAAATCTATTATTCTTAGTTTCCTGCTATCTAGAGTTCTTTTATTATCAGGGAAAAAAATCATTATTTAAATGTGATAATTCATATATATTTTTACAGAGTAACTGAAATATGCATGAAAGATGAATATTTTGTCTATTGTTCATTAAGATGAAAAACCAATAATATAATGCATTTATTGTGTTGTTTAATATGATGATAGGTTATATTTTAAGGCTAAAAATAAAAGTCTTAATTGAATATTAAGGTTAATTTAAAAGTTTAATAAATAAAATTTTAAAAAAGCAAATTTGAGAGCATACTATAATTTTTAAAAATTTGAGAAATGTGATTTACTTAATTTATAATATACACATATTATTTCAAAAGAAATAGTAAATTATCTTAAATTGTGTTGACAAACCTGAGTCAATACGAATAGAATCATTTGTAAAGTAATATGATTAAGTCTTGACTACAAATTATAACTCAGATACTTAATGGAAATTAAAATTAAAATTTGAGCTTCTTTTCTACAAACTGATGAAGTTATCCTGTGCCTAGAAAATAGAGGATGCTTTTTCTTGCCAAAATGTTTATAAACTCTTTGAACTTCTAACATACTATTATTTTGAGCAAAAATGCCTTTAAAAAGTTACATTTTTAAAAATTGTAATGTACATTTAAAAACATTACAATTTTTAAAAAAAATTTTTAAATTTAAAAAAATGTAATGTACATTAAAAAAGTAATGTGTTATTAATTTTTAAAAAATAAATTCTCTGTAACTATATCTTCCCTTTAGTTGTTACAGCTTGTTGACTCCAAAACCCTTTCTTGATTTTGTGTTAATAAAATTTACTCCTGGTGTCTTTTAGACCAAACCTGTCCCTATCCACCTTTGTTAGAGTGGCTTTGACTGAAAACAGGTCACTAAGGTTCCTTAATGACTGGTATTGACTTTGTAGCACAAAAGCCTATTGGCTGCTGTCTACATACAGAATATGTAGAATATAGAATATTGAATATGTAGGATAGAAGTCAGTTATCTCAGTAAAGTGGTACCTGCCTCAGAATAGCACTGGATTTAAGCAGGAATTTATTTCCACCCATAGTTCTCAGGAGGGAGAATGAGAGATGGGAGAGATGAGGATAGGAGAATTGAGAGTTCTTTAGATATCTTAATGTTTCAAAGACCAAAAGCAGCCTCTGTTTGAGTTCACATGCTTGAACCACTAAAGGGAAATTTTTAAATGCCTATATCTGCTCCCAGAGCTTTTTTCTTTTTATGTTTTATAATAGGCATGAAAATAAGCAGACTGTATCATGCTATATAGTTCAGAGAATATATGAACTAGAGATTGTCACTAAGACTATCAGGCTCATCATAAGAGAAGTTTATGAAATTAGACAAGCAGTGTTTCAAATAGGGCTGTTGTAGAAATAATACTGTCCACTGGAGGTAGAGTATATGATGCCTAAGAAGACTATTATATTTACATTCTGTAGACTTGTCCATTACATTAAATATTTCTAAGAAAACAAAAACATCGTGAAACTAGGCAATTTGCTTAATACTTCCTGAAAATATTCTTTTGTGAGTCCTTTGGATTGGTGGATGGGATATAGGATATGTTATTAAACTCTCTTGGCTTCTGCTTTACAAATGAACTACACTACAGTATTAGAATAGACACAATAGAAAAGTCCCCTTTCATGTATAAAGCAATTATAGGTAATGGGGGCAGAAAATTAAATTCTATTAATGTATAATAATATATTAAAGAAAAGAGTTATGTTGCTTTAAGAAGGGACAAATAGAGGTCATATGAAAATTTATTTGAGGATAAAAATAATTAAAAGCCAACAGCTTAACACAGTTGCCTGAGATCATAAAGATTAAGAAAACATATTTCATATTAAGACCTAACAAGGACATTAAATAAGATCACAAAATTCAAGGCATGAAAAAAAGACATTTTAATGTCTTCATTCATTATTTTTTGATAACAACACTTTTTAAATAGATCCCAATTTGAAGCATCTCAACAAAATACAATTTTATGTCATATTATGTACAATAGTTTTATTTACAAAATACACTTAATTCTAAAAATTATTAAAATCACAGCAGCTTTAATTCTATACTGTATATCATCACATAAATGTGAAATGTTTTGGGAAAGGAATCTAAATGTTAACGTAAATGCCTTAAATATAACTCTTCTGATAACTCTTAAATGCAATTTGATCAATATTTGGGATTATGGAAAGAGTGTTGAATTGCTATGAAAATCTATAGCTGAACGTCTTATATTCAGTTTTTGCAATGCTTCCAAAAACAGGAAACAATGCAAGCAAAGTGCCACAGCTGGAGTTTAAACAAATGTCCATCCTTTAAAGTTTTTCAAAGCATTTTAAACATCTTTTCTTATGGTTCTTGACAGCCGAGGGCAAACAAGGTTCTTTGTCAATTTATGACTAAGCCAATACCTATAAAGATCCTCTGAGATTACTGTAAGCTCTAACTAATGTCCATTTCCTTTATGCTACATTTGGGCATTCAAGAGTGATGTCTTCCTAGGTGGCTATCAGTCTCCCAGGCTCATTTACCTGAATACATAAAATGAAAAGTGATGAGCTTTTGGGGTGGACTTAATATTTGGCACATTAAAAGCTAATTTATTATAGATTAATATGACCTTAACAATACCACCTTTTCTTCATTTCATTTTACTTTTCAAGTAAGAATAAAAAGACCTTATGGGATAAGGACAAGCTGACTTAAACAGATTATGGATTGTCAAGTTTCATATGTGTGTGTATTTTATATACACATATAGTCCCTAAGTTGAAATCCATGAATGATATGGATTCTAGAACATACTAAAGATGTAACTTTGGCTTGAAGAGTAAGAAGTCTTTATTATTTTACTTAGGTAAAAAATACAATATTTCTTTTTCACGTAAAAGTGAATTTTGCTTAAAACATCAATGCAAAAACATAAATGTGCTCTGATGAGCAACTAAAATTTAGGTGAGGAGAATACAGACATACATTTTATTTTTTAATAAAAAGACAATTTTTTTTTTTTTTTTGAGACAGAGTCTCACTCTGTCGCCAGGCTGGAGTGCAGTGGCATGGTCTCAGCTCACTGCAAGCTCCGCCTCCCGGGTTCACGCCATTCTCCTGCCTCAGCCTCCCAAGTAGCTGGGACTACAGGCGCCCACCACCACGCCCGGCTAATTTTTCTGTATTTTTAGTAGAGAGGGGGTTTCACTGTGTTAGCCAGGATGGTCTCGATCTCCTGACCTCGTGATCTGCCCGCTTCGGTCTCCCAAAGCGCTGGGATTACAGGCGTGAGCCACCGTGCCTGGCCGACAATTGATTTTTAAAAATTACATAAAGCCATATTTTATAAGATTTGATGAAAATGTAGTCAGAATACACACACACACACACACACACATGCACGCACACGCTAGGTATTGGCATAGATTCACAGATATTCTAGCATCCTTGAAGACAAACATCATCTAGGTATTTTCTACATGTACCTGAAAAGATGCTGGCCTAGAAGCCACTGAAAACCTGTGAAAAACTCTTACTCCTGGAGGATGTGCTTATTATGAGAGTAGGCTAAGGATTCATTTGCCAAGAACCTCGACCTTAACACTTTTGAACTTGCAATAATAGACTTCACCAAATTAAAGCCCGTGTGAGCTGACACTTTTTGTTTAAATAACAAGTAACTAGAAAACTATGTCTACAATAGTAATGTAACTTACTTCAAATGATCATAATTTTTGTTTGAAAATATATCAAAATCCTTTAAGCTTCTTTCATATAAATTTTAAAGGTTTGAAGTAAAATTAGTTTATATCTATACATATATACATATAATTATTAATACTTTTTTTATAAGCATCTCACTTCCAAAGGAAATCTTTGTACATGTAATATTACTTTTCAAATTCCAAAAGCCTTGATTACATGGATGGATGGAGAGATAGATAGATAGATAGATAGATAGATAGATAGATAGATAGATAGATGATAGAATATTTTTAAAATATATTTTAACTGGTTTAACAAAATCGCATCTCTAGGTTTAGGGAAGCAGCTGGTTTGACAATGGCTGTATTAATAGTGGGAAAGACAAAATTGTGGTCACGAACACAAAAGCAAACCTAACTTGCATGAAAAACATCACATGAGACTCTATATAAATCATTGCAGCACAGCAATTTTTAATACATAATCTTAAACATAAGTATGTCCAATGCCGGTGGGAACATAAAAATAGCATCTTTAATAGATTGACCTTAAAATCCTTGCTCAGATGTTAATGTGAAAAAAAAATCTCTCTAGTTACTGATGAGACAGACTGGCATTAGATCTGCTTTGGTTGGGATGATGCTACATTCTATGATAGAGTGAACTATAGGGTTGCAGTGCTAGGATTAGAGTTGTGTCCTTCTATGGTAGCACTAGGAGCAGAGTGATGTCACTCAGCAGAGGATGATGCTCTAAGGTGGTGCTGGGAACAGAGCACTGTGTCTTTCTCTGTGATAGAGTTATATACTACAGAGTGTTGCAGATGAGAAGGCCTTGTGTTGCCAGGGAGGTTTTCACAATGAAGTGACATTCCACATGAGATCTGAATGGATACACATGGAACTCTGGGAAAAGCATTCCAAAGAGTGGAAAGTGATTGCTCAAAACTCAAAGGCAAGATAAAATATAAAAGAAATTAAATAACTCCAAGGAAGTTATTGTCATCTGTTAGTAATGCATTCATTCAACAAATATGTATTGAATGCCAGCCATTTGAATGCAGACATTTCTTTTACAAAACAACAAAATTTGGGTTTACTAGCTTTTTTTAATGTTGAGGCCATATGCAACTACTTCCCTGACCATTACTTTTCCTTTTGCCCCACATAAATCAGAGGAGAATTTCTCTTTTTTGCCTAGTCATTTTTTATGCCAATACGTTAAGTATTTTATAAATATATGCTAAATAGTAAATATATTACATAAAATACATTATCAATGGAATTAGTGCCCTACCTAAATAACTGATTTTTTTTTATGACTGATAAAATTTTTAAAAATGTCCTGAGGTTTTCCTGTGCAGGTCAGAAGTCTGAATAAGCACTCATTTAAAGATTCATTTATCTTATCAATATCATGGTCAATATAAATCAATCAAATAAAACCAATAATATCAGGAAACCTAAGAAAGCAGAAACTTCCATATTTTATAGACTTTAAAACTGAGAACAAAATTACTTTTCATTAATAATCAAGCTCTTTTTTAAAAATAAAAATAATAGCATGGCCACTAAAACATAAAGAAGTTAAATCAGAGAACTTGAGATTTAAGCAAGAGGCAGCAATGAAAGGCACCAAAGAGGTAAGGGATGGAAAAGCTTGGGAAGAATGTCAGACGAGAAAACTTGTTCTTTACTTCTCCTGTTTTCATATAGAGGGATATTTATTCTGGTAACACTTCAGGCTTCCTGTCCTACCCCTTCCTTTGGTATGACCCAGGGGAGTAAGGGAGACTCACTAAATAACGATTCAGGAATAAACCTGGACATGAATGAGTAAGCTTCCTCTGACTTCTCTTCTAATCACCTGCCTGACAGACGGTGCCTTCTGGTCTGTTGAGAAGTTTGAAGTTGTGTTGGTTAATTTTACTCTAGTGTGACTATAAGGAAATCACATATTACACTTACATCCCATCCACCAATCTTTCATCAGTCATTAATAAAGCTAACACTTGACCCCCACCTGTTCGTTCCCTACTTTTGTTTCTCAACTGCTTCTGTACCATTAGTAATTTTGTGACTTTGGGCAAAACACAAATACTCACCCTGCCTCAACGTATTCATCTGTAAAATGAAGATAAGTTTTTGAGGGTTAAATTAATATTATTAACATTCGTCAGTGCTTAGCCATATTTGGCACATGGTAAGCACTATTCAAATGTAGTTAAATAAGCATTATTTAGTTGTTCCTTTACAACTCCAACAGTGAGGCCAGAGAGGTATCCATGCTTCATCTCATTCAAGTCATTATTGACCAAAGAAAGACATGTGAAAATTGTTTAAAGCACAGCAGAATGCATTGTGAATCCTGGATTGTAGGAAAGTACAAAGCAGAGTTAACGTTGGCTGTTGCAGCAGTCTACAGAAGATGTGATGCCGACATGAGCTAGAACAACAATTTTACAAAGATAGATAGAGTATAGTGGAGAGATTGCTTGGGAAAACCTTTCTCACACTGTTCTACAGTTTACAACACTTATTACAAACTTCTCAACCACCCCTAGTCATTAGGAAGAGATTTTTCACTGTAGTCAGGCTACTCTCTCGGTCACCTCCAGGCAGCCTATTTTTTTTCTCACATAGATACCTCTTATATGGATCAGATTGAATGATATTCCCCAACAATGTCTCTAATATGTCCTAATTAATGGAAACTGGGAACGTCACTTCTTAGGGAAAACGTCTTCACAGAATTAACAAAGTTAAAATCTTAAAATAAGGAGATCACCCCGGATGATTTGAGTGAGTCCAAAATCCAATGACATGTCCTTCCAAGACAAAGGTAGAGGGAAATTTGAGACAGACAGAATAAGAGAATACACAAAGGAGAAAAGGAGACAATTTTACCAAAAAAAGGAAACGTTAGAGTGAAGTGGCCATAAGCCAAGGAAGTCAGGAACACTAATGACTACCAGAAACTTTATATGGCAAGGTACAGAATCTCTACTAGGTCACTTAAGGAAATATGGCCTTGCTGACACTTCGATTTAAGACTTCCAGCCTCTAACATTGTGAGAGAATATATTTATCTTGTTTTAACCACCCATTTGTACAGGCTGTCACAGGAAGCTAATGAAGATATTGGCATCTGGAAGTCAGGTTCTGCTACAACAAATACCGAAAAAATAGCTACAACAAATACTGAAAAAATACCGAAAAATGTGGCTTTGAAATTTGGTAACGGTTAAAGACTGGAAGAATTTGGAGAAGCACAATAGAAAATTCCTGAATTGTCTTGAAGAGACTTGGTAGAAATATGAATGTCAGGTTAATTCTGATGTGCACTTAGATGGAATTGAGAAACATGGTAGAGAAAGTCTCTAATGCCTTGGAGAATAAATAAATTTCATAGATTGAATGTTGGTGTAAATATGACTGTTAAATGCACAATGGAGAGGATTCAGAAGTATATATATTTGGAAGCCAAGGGAAAGTTAATCCTTGTAGTGGTCAGAAACTTGGCTGAATTGTGTTTCCCTCTTTGGCGAGATGTAGAATTTGTAAGTGATGACTTTAGCTGAGGAGGTTTCCAAACAAAATGTTAAGAGTGCAGCCTGTTTTTTCTTTACTGCTTATTGAAAACTGTGAGAGAAAAAAATAAATTGAGGAAGTAACTATTAAGCAAAAAGCAACCAGCATTTGATGACTCAAGAGGTTCTAAGCCTGTACAAATTGCAAAGAATACTACAATTAGAAAATTCACTGTTGGAAACGTGTGCTGTTAAGAGAAGTCCAAAGATATTACTGGACAACCTTCTGCCAAAGGATTACAAATTAAAAATTTACTTTTAAATCTCATTATAATCTGAGAATAGAAATGGTATTATCCAGAGGAAAAAAAATCTATGGAGGACTCTCGTCTAATGATATGAATCACTGTGATTCACACAGGAGAACCACTAGGTTTTTGAGACTGTTATAGCAGACATACTGCTAGCTTGGACCAAAAGGAACGTAAGATGATAATATGACAGAAAATTGCAGGATTTTCAAAAATCTACAGGCAACAAACAGAAATATAGAGCTACTCAGCTGTAAATGTGTGTGAACCTTCAAGGAAAAGGAAGAATTACTCAAAGGCAGAGGCTGGTGGAGCAATGGGTGTAGAAACTAAAGCAGATGGAATCTCATGCCCACAGGAGTGAGCCTCAGGCCAAGAGAAAGGAGCTGTGAGTTACAAAAGATTAATTACTCTGAGACCCTGAAACCTAATGGGATTTGTCTTGTTAGATTTCAAACTTGCTTGGGACTGGTAACCTTTTCATTGTTTACAATTTCTGCCTTTTGGAATGGGGCCATCTATCTTATGCCAAGCCCACCATTATATTTTTAAGGCAGATAACTTGTTTTCTGGTTTCACAGGTTCATAAATGGAGAGAAATTTTGCCTCAAGATGAATCATATCCAAAGTCTCATGCATATCTAAGTTAAATTATCAATTTTGGCTTCTGGGTTAATGATATATAGAGGAGATTATAAATTTAGAGTTTGTGCTATAATGGATTTAGACTTCCAAGTATGCCGGGATAGGTTGGCTATTGTTGCATATAGATTCACATAAATTTTCAGGGGCTGAGGTTAGACTGTGATAGGACTGGATGGTGACTATCACAAAGATAATTTCACATCTTAAACCCCAGAACATGTAAATGCTAACTTATCTGGGAAAAGAATCTTTGCAGATGGAATTAAATTAAGGCTTTTCAGATGAAGATACTAGCCTGGATTATCTGAGCAGGATCTAAATCCAATAGCAAATGTCATTATATGGCAAAGGTAGAGGAATCTTTGAGTCAGACAAAAGAGGAGAAGACGTATGGAAGAGGAGGATGCAGTATGACCATGGAGGCAGAGATCAGAGTGATGTGACTGTAATCCAAGGAAGCCAAGGGTTGTCAATGGCCACCAGAAGCTACAATAGGCAAGAGAAGCATTTTCCCATTCAGCGTCTGGAGGCATTGAGGCCCTGCCAACACATTGATTTTGGACTTCTGCCTTTTTTAGTTGTTAGAGAATGAATTCATTTTGTTTTAAACTACCAAGTTTTTAATAATGTGTTTGGGCAGCCACAGAAAACTCATACCCTTTAATACAATCCTCTCACATTTAACCTGATATTAGGCTCTGTTTCTCTAAGTGTCTGACATAATACAACTGAGAAGATTTTTACAAAGTTTTGTATACAAAACTGGGAATTAATTTTTTTCTTTTGGACATATTAAATATAAGATATGTCTAATATATCTAAGCAGAAATGTCATGTAGGCAGTTTGATATTTGGGTCTGAAGACTAGTGGAAATGCCAGTCCTGGAGAAATAAATGTAGGGAACATCGCCACGTAGATGATATTTAGTGATATGGAGCTGTATGAAGTATCCTGTTAAAAATGTTGTAAATAAAGAAGAGATGGGTAAGGCCTGCCCTGGAGGACTTCTGCATTTTACATACTCTCTGAGAACATTAAGCCAGTGAAGAAAAATAAGAAGAAAGAGTCAGTAAGGATATGTGGTTTGTCTGCCAGATAGTGCCTAACTCCCTCCCCATCTTTAACCTCATTCCTTGCCTCCTGCCTTAGCCTTCTTCCTCTTTTGTCCTCCAACTGTTCTTGGACTCAATATTACAGAAGTTGATTCATGATGATTGAATCCTTGATTTATATCAATGATGATTGGGCTGCACATTTTATAAGATTTTTTAAGCTGGGATTTTTATTACTTTTTAAAAATTCTTTTGAAATATTACCCAAAGACAGACCTGTGTCAAAATATAAGAACCATGTAAATATTATCAAAAATAAGCAATTTTTTCTGTTCAGTGTTTCTAGTGTACAATGAGAAAATGAGGGAACACCAGATGCCCTGGAGAGGTCAGCATCAGAGGGCACTGAGGACTATAAAAATCTGGCTGAATCAAAATTTCTCCAGTTACTCCTGTGGAGCAAAGGAGACTTTCTGCCTGATGCACTAGAAGCTAATGCTATGACACTGGGTTTTTGAGAAAAGAAAAGTGTTCTATTACAAGCCAACCAGTGAGTCCAGCTCAATTCTGTCTCCCTGCACTGACTTTAAGGCAATAATTTTATTAGAAAAGGTTTAGGGAGTAGATTCTGGGATTAGCAGGTGACTGATAGAAGGGAAGGGGAGGTCTGGAAAGTCCTCGGGCATGTACAGTTATCTCTTCATGCTGCCTGATGGATCAAATGAGCAAATTTGGAGGTAGTTAGTATAAAACATGCAGTGTAAATTCAGGCTTCAATGTCAGCAAGCTTGTTCTGCCCAAACTCCAATGGGTCATATTGGTTCCAACTGATTTCAGCCAGTTTTTAAAATCTCACAGTTGGAGGAAGTTTCAGCATTTCAGCAAGTTGGTTCTTTTCTAATCTACTATCCTACAAACTCAAGATTTTCTGTTAGTCATTGGTTTCTTTAACTCTTTGGGGCATGGTTTCTCTCCTACTGTCTGTCGTACCTCCTAAAATATGCCCAATAGCTTTTTTCTTCTTCAGATCCTGTTTCTTTCTTATCTGCCATTTACTCTGGATCAATATAGCATTAAAATACTCATTGCTTTTCTCTCTTCTCTTTTACGTATATAAACTTTGGTGTATCAGAGTCTGCTGGTAACCTCTCAATACTCAATATTCATCCCTCTTTTCTTTAGGTGGGAATTTGGCCACCTCCTAAAAAGACAATATCTCCCTGCCTCCCTTGTAGGTAGATGAGGCTGTTATTAAGATGTAGCCGGTGGAATGCAAAAATTATTATCACGTGGCAGATTCCACAAATATTCTCTCAAATAATCATGGCAAAGTCTCTTTCTCCTTTCACCCTTTCCCAATGGCTGGAATGCAGACAATGCCAGCCTTCAAAATAGACACTAGCAGGAGAGCAACAAGATGAAAAAGAATGTCTGTCCCATGAACACACTGAGCCAAGCCAGTTTATAAGCCTACTTAAGAACATTTAATTGAGAATTGTGTATCTTATTTTCAGCACTTTTAATTGGAGGTCATTGCAATTTACATTTGAAACTAATTGCAATTGATTCCAGGTTTTTTTTTTTTTTTTCTTTTGGAACTGAGTTGCTTCAAGTAACAGAACACGTATCATTGGCTTAATGGAAGTTGTCCAGCAGCAGATGGCAAGGATTGACATTACAGACTAGAATTTTGTAACCTTATAATGCAGTAGCAAAATATGGTAAATCTTTCCTGTTACCTGCATATGGCAAATCAGGCACTGGTAAAGTAGTAGAATAAGAAGCAGTTATAAGATATTGCTACAGTTTAATTGTATTTCTCCAAAAATCGTAAGTTGAAGCCCTAATCCGTGGTGCTTCAGACTATGACTATATTTTGACATATGGTCCTTAAAGGAGGTAATTAAGTTAAAATGAGGTTATTATGGTTGGCCCTAATCCAATATGATTGATGCCCTTATAAGTCAGGAGGAATTTAGGACATATGCAGGGGGAAGGCTATTTAAAGACACAGGGAGAAGATGGCCATCTAAAAGCCAAGAACAGAGACCTCAGAAGAAATAAACCCTGCTGACACCTTGATCTTGGAATTCTAGCCTCCAGGATTTTAATAAAATGAAGATATATTGTGCATTAACTACTCTTGCCACCATTAGGTAAGTTTATAAGAAAGAGAGTAACTTAACTTGTAGATAACCACCTGCTGAGAGAGATGAAGAGGGATGCAACAATTAAGTCAAAGAAGGCCTTCTCTGAAAGCAGCACACACTTATTCACTAACAGCAGACCAGTAATATGGCAAATTGCTGGGTTGAAAAGCCAACCACTGCTATACCTCACAGGGAAGCAGCTCTAAGCAGTGGTTCTCAATATGGAAGCTTAGCAGGAGGTAAGGATATACCTCAGGTCTTTTTCCAGGATTTGTCATTATTAGTTCTCAGTGAAACAATGGAAGCCCCACTGGGTAAAATATATAATTTAAGTTGCTACTTCATACCAACGCCCTCTTTTACAATTACTTCTAGCTAGGAATAACACAAATAAGAGAGTTGGGTGTGAATGACACCTAAACCACATAGATCTCCAGTCTTTAAGACGGAGATAATAAGATGATTGGCAGTGTTGGAAGGAAATCTTCCCTGGATTTCTTGGTGATTTGACATGGTCTGGACCGCCCAAGCAATAGACATTGTCAAATTATAATGATAGAACACGCATCCTCTTCTTTTCCCCCACAACTACCTCCTCTTTGGGTTCTAAGGGTGGTAGATATGAAGTCTTTTGTCTCCTTTTTCACCAGAGACATCTGTTCCTTCTTCAAAAGATATGAGAGCCTTTCTATTATCTGCATGATTCAATGTTTACATTCTTGGTTGTAGAATTTCTTCTCTTCCACCAACAGAAGATCTTTGTACATTCCAAAATAAAAGATAAGCACCTTTTATAAGTCCAGAAGCATAGATGGTTGGCTCCTATGTAAGCTTTAAAATTCATAATTTTGGAGTTTCTCTACTGTGGTAGAGACCCCTCTATGTGCAGGGTACGTTTGGCTTTCCTTACATAGCCCTATGAAGGACTGAGGTATGGGCAAATAGCAACATCACTAAGGTATTCTGTGAGTCAGTAAAAAGAGGTTTTTTGTTTTGTTTTGTTTGCTTTTGGTGTGTTCTTGATAATCTCTGGTGTTTCTGCTAGTGTATTTGTGTGTATGTGTGTATCTATTGAACTATATTTCTATCTTCTATTTATCCAATCTGTATGTATATACATATCTATATCTATTTATCTTACTATATAATCTACCCAGTATCTATCTATCTATCTATCTATCTATCTATCTATCTATCTATCTAATCTAAACAAGTAGTGTAACATTTTCAACTCTTCACAGTTTTACACCTAAGAGATGTATATGTGGCAGCAAGGATATGACACAAAGCAAACATGTAAGAATTGTACTAAGTAATTTTTTTGAGAATTGTATTGAAAAAATAAAAACAACAAAAACGTAATCAAATAATATTTCAAACCTAGCCTGAAACTCTTCAAAACAGTCCATAGGCCAGCAAACCTACATCTATATAAGTATCATTTTAAAGCTTTTCAGCCTCTTAAAAGGACATCTGTTCCATTGCCTACTTCACATGTGGACAGAGCACATAATGGACAAAAATAAACCTTCCAGAAAGAAGGATCCAGAGGCCATAGAGAACAATGAAAAAGGTAATTCCTGCCAGAGAGTAAATCCAGCCACTAACAGATGGTGTAACATGAATTAACTACACTGCCAGCAAAAGGAACCTTCAATTTCTTCCCAGACTAATGATGGCCTTGTGTTTCCCGCTCCTCCTTTTTCTAAATGCAGGTTTTGAAATGTGTTACTTATTACCTCAGTACAATTGTATGGTAAATGTGTTAGGGATATATAACTTGAATTTTAATTTACAGATGTAAAGTAAATTTTTCTACCTACTTGTATAGGAGATATTAAAGCTGACTCTGTGTTTTAACACAACCATTATAACCAACAAAATCTCTTAAAATATAATAATATTTGAGTGATATCACTATGCCAGAACCTCACTGGCCTGACCAGAGAACAATGATTCCTGTTTTATTAAATAATTATTTGTGCACAGAATCCTGGACTCCTCCCTTCCTAACCAGAGAGCTTCTTTTCAATCTTCATTGGCATAACTAAGCATCAGTAACATATACTTCCCCCCTTTCTAGTGGTTAGATATCTCTGATTTGCATTCTTAGTGAATCACTGATTTTATTCTACTGGTGTATCTCTTTGCCTGGCAGGTTAATAAGCCTGGTATTCTTTTGTCATTGGATGTTGTTTTTTTTATTGTATGCTTCTTTAAATTACTGAAGGCCATTGTTTACAAAGGTCACAGTACAACAAGGACTTACATCTTGATCTGATAAAGAGGACTGTATATTATATAGGGATCTTGGAGTTTGAGTTGAATGAAATAATAGATTAGGGCTTTAGAATATTTTCTCCCCTAAGAATGAGATTAAATATATAGAATAGAAAAATGAATACTGTGCTTGCAGAGATTTTTTTTTAATGTTTTATTTTGCTAGAAAGCAGGTTTCACCACGTTGCCCAGGCTGAACCTTGAACCCCTGTGCTCAAGCGATCCACCCACCTTGACCTCCCAAAGTGCTGGAATTACAGATGTGAACCACCATGCCTGGCCTGTGCTTGGGTACTGAAGTTGCAAAACAGATAGACAGATTTTGGTAGAAATCTAATATATTTTATTTGATATCATTAGATCATCATATATTTTGCTGCCAATGAAATGCTTTTTAGCCCCTTTTGCCAGGTATAGCTTTGCAAAAAAAATTATGACCACTGGGAAGCGAGTGGAGGTGCATGCAGCTCTCAGGAACATTCTATAAATGTTAGTTGGCATGCTACATTTGTCCTTTCTTATTTGATCTGCTCCTTCCTGATGACTGGAATTAATTAGATGGCCATGTTGGATTCCCCAACTTGGAAGTGAGTTGACTTTGGGAATGTAGGCTACGTAAGATGATTGATATAAATGTAAGACATTTTGTGCTTCGTGGAGAAGAGCATCACATTGTACTCAACTTCTATACATTTGAATATTTCCATATAATAAATAAAGTTGTATTTTGTAAAGCCATTATTATATCTGCATTCTTCGTTATTTTAGTCAATCCTAATCATAACTGTTTGCCAATCTAAACTATTAAATTGATAACCTCTCAGACAACTATTTCAACTTTTTCTGATTCTTTCGGACACCATTGGAAGTTTTTTCCTGCACAAAACATGTACGAAATAGCACAGCCATAATTAGAAATTTACAGGCACATCTATAAATATCAACTGAGATTTAAAACTTAGAACTCTTCATGTCAATCACAACATCCTTCCTCATTCTCTAAAATTTACTGTACCTACTTTTTATTTCTATAGGGATCTCTACCTACCAAAAAGCAATCATCTATTACTAATGTTTATTTACCTAAATTCTTTTAGCATTTATGTTTTATACCATGTATTTTGTTACTTCTTAGCACAAGTGAATTATATTATAAAGTGGTTTCATAATATTTTGTTACATTCCTTTGGTAGTTGTAAAAACATGGCAGCACTCATCTAAACTAGTAATAGACACAAATTCTAGATTCTATTTATTGAGGTATATTGCAGGTCAAATACTATAATAGTTCATTTAATTTCCAAACTATCATACAAGTAGTTCATAATAATGTATAGAGTTGAATACTGACCTCTTTCAAATTTTACCACCCAGAATATGTGAGGGTGACATTATTTCAGACAAGAATGTCTATAGATCTAATTAAAGCAAATACCTTGAGCTGAGATAATCCTAGACTAGGTTGGGCCTAACATCCAATAAGAGTATCTTTGTAAGAGACAGAAGATGGGAAGACATACAGAGACACACTGAGGGGAAGGCCATGTGGAGAAGGAAGAAGAGATTGGAGTTATGTTTCTAACAAGCCAAGGAACATGAGGGTTAGCTAAGCCACCAGAAGATAAGAAAGAGGCACTGAACAGACTCTCTGAGCCTCCAAAGGGAACCAGTCCGGCTAACACTTCATTTTGGCCTTCTGGCCTTCAGAACTTTGAGACAATACATTTTTGTTGTTTTAAATCACCCAATGTGTGGCCATTTGTTACGACAGCCCCAGGAAAGCAATACAGATTTTGTTACCAGGAAGTAAGGTGCTGCTGTAACAATTAACTGCAAATGCAGAAGGTGATTTGGATTTGGGTAATGGACAGAAGTTGGTAGAATGTGGAGGCACCTCTTGAAGAGATATTGGCAGAAACATGAATATTAAGACTATTGTGATGAGCCTCAGAAGGAAGTGAAGAACACTGTAGAGAATGCTTCTCACTTCTTAAAGAACACATACTTTTTTGAATAGATGTCAGTAGAAAGACAAACATTAAAGATCTTTCTGGTGATGTCTCCAAAGAAAATGAAGAACAAGTTATTGTAAACTGTAACAAACCAGATCCTTGCTAGAAAGTAGCAGATATTTTAGCTGAATCATGTTCTACTATCAAGTAGAAAGCAAGACTTGCAAGGTTAAACTTGAATATATAACTGAGAAAGTTTCAAGTGAGGTGTTGAGGGTGAAGTATGGTTTTTCCTTGTTCCTTATAGTAAAATATAAAAGAAAAGAGATAAACTGAAGATGAAACTTCTGTGTGAGAAGGAATCAGCACTTGATGATGTGGAAGATTCTTAGCATATCTACGTTGCAAAGGATGGAAGAATTAGGAATTTCACTGTTGGAAGAGCAAATTCTAAAGAGAGGGTCAAAGGTATGGCTGAACAAACTTTTGTTGAAAAAATTAGGTGTGTGATTCATGGATCCAGTCAACCATCTTAGGAGAAGCCAGAAATAGAAATGGAGTTATTTCAGAAATGCACAACCTTTTTCTAATGGTGCAGATCACTTCATACATAGTAGACCCACAATGTTTTTGAAAATGTTATATAAGCATAAACATTGGCAGCTTGGATTGAAAGAAAAAGACATGTGATGGAAAGAAGGAAGATGAACAATCTTCTGGGATGTCAAAGGAATAAATTTTGCTGATAAAATAACTCAGCTGAAAATGTGCCAACCTTTAAATAAAGAAGAAATAACTACTCAGGTGCTGAAGGCAGTGTAGCCACTGCCAAGCATGGAGGAGAGAGGCATGGACTGCATTCTCCCAGAAAGGACCAACCCTACTGGTAAGTAGATTTCAGATTTACAGTCTCTGAAACTGTGAGAGAATGATTTTCTGTTGTTTTAAGATACCCAGTGTGTGATAATTATTATGGCAATCCTAGGAAACTGATATATAGAATATTCACTTTACATGTGGGTGCAACAACCCTTGAGAAGTCTAAATAACATCATCATGGTCACACAATTATTGGGTAATAAAGTCAGCTTTTGCACCAAAGGAGTCTGCTCCAGAGAATTAATCAATCAATGCAATATCTCATGGGACATTTTACTTTTTTAGAAAGTTCAAAATGTAATTATGGACTGAAGAGACAATCAATTGATTCATTTAGTTTGTGGTCATTCCTATCAATGTTCTCCAGATACAGAATTTTCAGGCAACCACAATCCTTGCAGGAGCTGTAGCATGAATATGACCAGTATACAAACCATAATATTTATGACCAGAACCAAAGTATCACCAATGAAAGATCACAGAGCAACCTCAATCATAAATGGTACTACCTTAATAGAATTAACATGAACACAGCCATGTGAAGACCAAGAAGCCGGAGACTATGAGTTTGCCATTTTCAGCTTTATGAGGTTTTCGGTGCTAGTATAAAATAAGAAACTGAGAAATGTGTTGCAGTAGTAAGACATTGTATTTCAGGCTTAGATATCTGCAACTGCACTGAGTCAAGCACTAGAGGATTACACTAGGTATATTAGTAACCTCACCAAGATTTTTTAAAATGACCATCATTACACAATTAAATTATACAATTAAATACAATACAGTAAGATATAATATTTGACTATATTATTTTACTATATGATGCATATATAGTAATAATACCTTCTTGATGTGTTAAGTTCTAGTTGGGGAATGCTAAAATTGAACAAAATTGAGGATGAAGGAGCAATTGTAGTATTCTTCACAATTATAAAAGCAATTATTATCAGACATATTTGTATGTAATATGCAATCTGTGCTAGCAAACATTAGGAAGCTCTAAGTCAATTGCCTTAAAAATAATATATATTTTATAAATTTACACACACACACACACAATTTTTTTTTGAGGTCTGGCAATCTAAACCCCTCATTTTGAATAGAGGAAACTCAAAGCACAAACTCACCTATTTAGATTAGGATAAAGTTTTGCTTAGAATAAAAATTCCTGATTTTCTTTCAGCTCTTCTTTCCAATATACAGTCTCTATACATTTGGTATGTTACAAGCTCCAGAATTCACTTTAGTGATACAAAAAATAAACTTGGCTTAGTATTTAACAGTTTATTTTATCCTTCTCATCAAGAAGCCTGCCCTTTTTTTTGTTGTTTTCTTAGCTAACATTCATAAAAGCAACATCAAAGAAGGATATTAATGTGTAGAAAAATGTTCTTACATACTTGCCTAAATTATGTATTTGATTAAAACTGCTATAACAGCCATGGCTTTCTAACCAGTAAAATGAATCTCATGCATCAAGGTAATGACTAGACCTTTAACATGATATATTGTAAGCTACAATACCTGTAGAAATGAGTGAGGAAAGAATAATTACAAAGGAAGTATGTGTTTGAGGAAACAACTTTTGCAATTAGAGGCCTGCATTTAAGGAATGCCAGCGTTTCTGTGTTTCCCCTGGATATTCTTGGTAACTAGCACAGTGTTGTAACAATTTTAAGACATTACAAATTAACATATGTGACCATGAGAATTTATCTATGAGGAATATTTTTAAATTAATGACTCTTCATGGTTTTATATGTATATTCAAAACATAATAATCAACTGGGCACAGTGGCTCACGCCTATAATTCCAGCTCTTTGGGAGGCCAAAGCAGGTGGATCACCTGAGGTCAGGAGTTCAAGACCAGCCTGGCCAACATGGCAGAACCCCATTTCTACTATAAATACAAAAATTAGCCAGGCGTGGTGGTGGGCGCCTGTAATCCCAGCTACTCGGGAGACTGAGGCAGGAAAATGGCTTGAACCTAGGAGGTGGAGGCTGCAGTGAGCCGAGATGGTGCCACTTCACTCCAGTCTGGGTGAAAGAGTGAAACTGTCTTTAAAAAAAATAAAAAATAAAGAAAAAATCATAACAATCAATTTACTTACAAGTTAGAGGCAATTTATTTTCTAAGGCCAGCTTATGTATCTCAAATTGTTTTGACCTCCACAGTAACTTGATTCTATAGCACTGGACATCAAAGCTGAAAAATATGTAAAGAAAATGCTTTAAGAATATGCAAGACTCTCTGTATTCTGTGCATCATTAATTCAGCCTTCCCAGAATATTTGGTTGACACATCTCTATGAAACTTTGAAATCTCTCACATATTATAATTCATAACCAAAGAAGATTTCTCTAAACAAAATTCTATCAGGCCAAAGATAGTAACTCTCTGGAAAAAATAAAAAAGCCCACATCCTAATCAGCATTGCCTAAGAAAGAGAAAATGGTAGGCAGAATGAGAAATAAAATGGTTTAAACAATAAATTTAGTTCCAATCATTCAACGTGACTTAATGGTGACAGAATGGAGTCAACTGCATTAAACAAACAGACCTGGTAGCTCATAAGTTTCTAAATACAAGAGCAAAGCCAGCACTGTAATGACATTTCTTGTTACAGTCGTCCCTCAGGATCTGTGGCAGACTTGGTTCCAGGACCTCCTACAGATACCAAGATTCACAGATGTTCAAGTTCCTAATATAAAATGGCATAGTATTTGCATATAGCCTACACACATCTTCCCATATACTTTAAATCATCTCTAGATTACTTATAATGCATAATAGAATGCAAATTCTATGTAAATAGTAGTTATACTGGATTATTTAGGAAATAATGGCAAGTAAAAATGTTTGTACATATTCATTACGGATGCAATTTTTTAAAGCATATATTCAGTCTATGATTAAATATATTCAATTCAATACTGGTTGAATCCATAGGTACAGAATCCACAGATACAGAGGATAGATTGTATTTATATTGTAGTTACAGATTATAAAATGCTTTCATAAACATACTCGCTTTTTAACTTTAATCATTACAACAACCTTCCTAGGTTGGCAAGTCGAGGACTCTTTTTGACATTATTGAAATGAAAACAACTTTTAGGGAAGGAGGGACTCAATTAATAGTTAGCTGAACTGCAATGACGAGAGTCATCACTCAATACTAGGTATCGTCAATCCTGTAATCTCTTCACTACCCTAACTTGCAGTCATTGACATGATAATGCAGCCTGCATGATATTAAAGGTAAACCAATTAATTGTATTCCTCAGCTACAGTT
The DNA here is from genome assembly GCF_000001405.40 of Homo sapiens. Classification (NCBI taxonomy): domain Eukaryota; kingdom Metazoa; phylum Chordata; class Mammalia; order Primates; family Hominidae; genus Homo; species Homo sapiens. Next base: position 22,406,442 of record NC_000005.10, read on the forward strand.
TACAGGAATATATTTGAGAGGGTTATAATGTTTGTGATTTTTGAATCTGGAAATTTGTTTTAAGCTGATACCGTCTCTCAAAATATGACTCTTTCCACCAGATAAAAAATATATTATTCTTTCCACCAGAAAGAAGAAAAGATATTATTTTCCCTAAAGGGTAATAGATTTTTGAAAAGCCAATTACATGCAAAAACAATGATCCAAATTAACATATTTAGAGAATATTCTGAACAAAGCTTCTAAGATTAGAGAGACTGATAGTAGCTAAGCATGTGGTAATACAGATAAATTTCATTATCTGTTTATTGAATGTGGATTTTTCAGATTGTTCAAAAAAAGCTCTTTGAAAAGTACACTTAAAGGGAACAATATGGGGAACAATATGCATCACAGTTGAAAGAATCCAAACTTGTAATTAACTAATACCAAGTATATGAGTATAAGCCTTGAGAAAATAAAGCAACATATTTATACAAATTCATAATGAAAGAAGAAACAGCAAATATGAAAGAATATAAATCAGATCAAATACATTATTTTATTTATACTTGGCTATGGTCACTTACTTAATTCTAAGTAATGAGAAATTGAATACTTTGGCTTCAATTCTGTTCTTTTTTTAGTGTTTGTCACTAGAAAAAAAATTCAATCTGAATCTCTAAGTAAAATTGTACATCAATGTACACATTATATCCAGCAGCCTATTCATATTTCCCTTGAAGGTGCCATTGACATCTCAAACTCAAAAATTATCATTTAAGTTAATTATTCACCCTGTCTCTCACAAATGTCTTCTCCTATGATTGCATATTTTAATGAGAGGCACTACTATAATTCATCCAATTTCCTAAACTCCAGTTCTTTGTGGCACCCTTTGATTTCTTCTCCTCCCATATTAGTCATAGCCAAGATATTACCAAATCCCATCTTCAATGTTCTCAATAGTTTAAAATCCACTTCATTTTCTCCACCAAATTATTATGTCAGTTAATACCATTACGATATCCTGTTTAAGTTACTAATCTTCCCCAACTCTAAGTTTTCTATTACTCTCTAATTATTTCTGCACTCTACCGTAAAAGATGATTTTTTTTTGAATCCCAAGTTGATCATAGCACTGCCTAATTAAATCCTTTTTATCTTTCCCCATGGCTCTCTGCATGAGCCCGATGTACTTCAAGCTTACCTGTCATCATCTTTCACCAGCTACCTGCATAATGAGTTTAGGAGGAGTTAAACTGTTTGCACACTACACCTAAGCAGTGCAAAAACCACTAGTTTGCTCAAGGACTTTGGGAATATATTTTCATTTATAATTCTCATCTCTTCTCTTCTGTCACTTTACTTACACTCAAACAATTACCTGTCCTTTCTTCGGTAAACCTTCATTTTCTCTGCCTAGATTAGACTCCATGTCTGATTAGACTACCTGTTCAATTATACCTTCATACAGGATGCTTTTTTACGTTTCCTCACAAATTACTGTACTGTGTAGAAATAGCCTATCGCCTTCTCTATCTCTCAACAGGACTGTGAGTTTTGGGATGGTACATAGTAAGTTTTTCACAGTCACTACATTCTCAAAATCTTCCCATTTCAGTCAGTTTATTTTTAGTTTTCATAAAGTTTTGAGTGTAAAGCCTCATTAATCACTGGCATCAACAGTCATATGGACTAGGTGGACTATCTTTAACAATGAAGCACATTTCAGCAAAACCTATAGCAAAATGATGTGTTTTCCACTTTTATCTCTGTTTATAAAAGCTGTGGCTAAACAAGATAGATTCTTAAAGTCAAGAAATCATAGATAGAGTTTCAGAGACAATTGCTTTTAGGGGTGGGGGTTATTGAAATCAATGTGTCTGACAATATAATGAGGGATAACCTGACACAAAAGGATCCTAAATAAGTGTCCTCGGTCTCTGTCCTTTTTTTCAAAATAGTTGAACCAACGTAAGTCACCTATCCAATGTGCATGTTTTTCTTAGTCAAACTCAGTTTTAAGACATTCTTCAAAATATCTGGCAACCTTACGACCAGGAGCAACAGAAGCAATCTGGAAACTTCAACTCACTGCCAAGTAACATTGAAGAATTCAAAATGGATATTATATCATCTATTTATATATGCATATTATTATATATACTATATATACATTATATGTAATTGTAAATTACATATATAGTACACATGCATTATATTAATATATTAATTGCATATGCATTATGTGTGCACATGTAAATGTTCATGAATGTATTGCTGCCCACATCACTAAATTAGACTCAATATCACTGAAGTCAAAACACCTGGAAAAAAATAGATTCCACCACATTTTAAAGACCTAAAATAATAAAATCAATTATACTACTAAATCAATTCTTCTATCTTCATTTTATTTTCCCCCATGATGGTGGACAATTTTGTTTCCAATGAATAATTAAGTGAATTTTTTGCAGTAGATAATTAATGCTTTCTGAATATTTCCTATCAGTATTCTACAATAAGGCATACTGACTTACCTATCACCATAAGTATTAAACCATATGCTGTAGGCTAGAATATTTATATTAGTATCTTAATAAAAACTTCCAGAAAATTATCTACATATACAGCAAAATGCATCCTTAGGGATCCCCTGCAAATATTTAAAGGTATCTTTTGTGCAAGGAAAATAAGATAGTAAAAGTCTCATATGTAAGTTTTTAAAGAGTTAGAGTATACTCTTAGCACTCTCGTCTTGATATTAAAGGCTTCCAAAAGAGCCAAGCCTCTTTGACATTTAAAATTGTATTTTTCTTCTCCTTCTAGAGAAACTGCTTACATATGGTTTCACTTGTATTTTTAAGTCTTCTTATCTGAGGTATACACTTGTAGCACAGCATGTTTCTAAGGTCTGAGTGCATATACAAAGAGTGTCTATAAATTAAAAATATAATAAAATAAAAAGAGAAAGATACCCCATATTTCAATTATTCTTATTTCTTATTTCTCCAATTCAAAACCAATTGAAAACTAGCTTATTTTCCAAGTTTAGGATATCACTAATTATTTGGTTTGGAATACCATATTATATTGATTTGAAAAAAATACAGCATAACTCTAGAGTCATAATACTTTTCTCTTTCTTGTGACAAAAATCCATGTTAACAACCAATGGTGAGGGTCTTTCTTCTGCTTAAATAATGTTTTAAGTTTCTTCTATATTATAATTGAGGACTAAGCTATTGATTCTACTCAATGTTTCTTCTACAAAATTAATATAATTTCAGTGGTGTGATGAGATACTGAAATACAGCAAAGAAGCTTAATTGTTTTGGAGAAAAGGATAGGCTAAAGCCTTCTTACCACTCCTACCCCATGACTAGTGGTCAGCCTGAGCATGGTGTTAATAAGGGTTTTGAGGCTGAGAGTGGTAGTTCTGGGGAAGGGTGTCTGGATCAATTAGTGTTATTTATTTACAGCTCGAAGATAAATGCTTAGATTACCTGGTACATGGTGGCATTATAAAAGTGCGGATGATGATTTCTACTTTATAAACATGATGATAATACAAATTATTTTTTATTACAATTTTTCTCACTAGTTTAATTAAAACAGATTTTGATTTGATTGTGAATAGTAAAAATGACAGGATAAAAAGCCTGCATGTTACTTTGTTGGGGCTCAGAGAACAATACCTCAAAATGAAAGCCACAGAAGCAAAAGTTTATCTCTGACCTTCTCCTGCCCTCCTGTCTCTCAGTTCCATTCTCCCCCAAGGATAGGCACAGAAACAAAAATCCTTCTTCCCCAAGGTAGGTCATAAAAACCAGAATCCGTTTTCCCCAGAGCCAACCATAAAACCTAAAAATATTACTCTAACATTCCCTCTGCCTTTCTGTGTAAAAACTGGCCATAAAAAATTATCTGACCTATCTTGTTTGACTGTAGGTCATAAGACTTCCATTCCAGAGAAGGTCCTGCCCCAGACTCGCAGGGAAGAAATGTCACTGAGAGAGGCCAAGAAGAATCTGCACAGAGAGGTTTTGCTGGGTTTCCCCACTCACAGCATTAGATCATATCCTTTCTGTCCAATCATACTTCTACATGGCTATCTATATTTTGTTGATCCTAAGTATAAAAATAGACCATTTCCCCTGTATATTTGGGTCTTTGTTCTGAAGGCTCTCATTTATACATATTAAATAAATTTGCATGTTTTTTCTCTAATTAATCTGCCTTTTGCAAGTTGATTTTTCAGCAAACCTTCAGAGGGCCAATTCCTCTTGGCCCCTTCAATTTCAATAAAGAACATAATGCTAGACATGAAGAAGATTATTCTTTAAAAAAACATGTTTGGGATACAGAAGAGATTTTGTATGTTAAATTTTATGCAAACAAACTCTGAGATAGAAGAGACATTCTAAAAGAGGAGAGATAGCAGCTGACCCAATGAAGGCTGGGGGAAGGAGTGGCAAAGAAATCTGTGTTTCCAGTTGGCCAAGATTATGAGAACAATGAAATAGATTTTTAAAAATGGAAATAAAAGTGAGTCTAGGATATGGAAAAGATGGAATTTAGAGGAAAAAGAACATAATTTTGGGGATAATTGTACTCTACAAAAAGGAATGTTGACACCTCTGATTGTAAAGTATGTAGAGATAAATTGGTCAGGTATATACAAAGATATATAATGGAAATAAAGGCAAGAAATAAAATAGAAAAGGAAAAATCAAAATAATGAGTTTATTTCACCTATAAAAATCCATTTATAAATTAAAAACATATGAAATGTATTACATAGTATAAAACTGCATATTAATAAATTCTATATACCAATGGAAAACTATAATCCAGGGACTGTATAGTATTGCTAATTATTACAATACATCAAGCAGATAGGAATCATCATTTTAATTTTATGGATGATAAACTGAGGTTCCCTGAAGTCATTTACTTAAATAGTATGATTAGTAAATGGTAGGAAAGAGGTTTCACACCTTAATCTTTCTGACAGTCCATGAGATCTGCAGATCTTCATGGTAAACTTCACCATGTGATTTTTAAGCATAAATAAACCTTCATAAAGATATTTCAGTCAGCATAATTCGAGCTCAAAAGATTAAAGCTATTTCACTATATTTCAACATTATATTTCCCCAGAGGACAATTTAAGAAAAATACATAAGCTGTAGTAATCAAACCAACGAAATTGATTGAATTATATTATTGAAGAGTGTATTTATTTTTTCACTCACATAGTTTTGACCCAGCATTTTTGCTGATATATTTTAGAAATCTAGACAAGACAGCTTTAATTGATGTTACACTTTAATAAAAGAGCCCTGGTTCTTACATAGCTTCCCGGAAAATAATCATTTTAGAGGATAGGTTTGTGTGAATTTTTATGAATACTTCAGAGACTACCTCATCAATTTCTCTGTTGGCTTGATGACTAAATTTGATTAACTGGATAAAGATTTAATTCTGTTTTCTCAGTTGTAATGTTTTGGTTTTCTTCTCTAAAGGCATTCCTCGTATTCAGTTTGTAAATGAAAATAGAATATACAAGTTAATGTGCAATGTGCTTTTAAAGCACAATTGTTTCTAATTAAAAAATTTATTCCTACACCATCATAGGTAGACAGACAGAAATTTCACAGAGAGACATCTGTCAAATTTTGATCATCTTTCCAAGAAAATAGCAGTATTCATGCCATCACTGTCTTCCTGCCTTTATAATGCATAACAATCAGCTAGCTTCCACCATTCTAATTCCAGTAGAGGTAAAAACATATTGCTGGGTTTTAAGACGAATGCCAATCATCATATTCACATGATATTACTATAAAAACATACATTACTCAGCCTGTGTCCATCTGCTATAAGTCAACTGAATTAGATTTCAAAGTTCTATTGCAATTCAGAAATGTTTCATGTCTTTCGGTTTATTTTATAGGACCACACACCGTTAACTATTACAGTTAATCATTATTAGAATGTCATTCTGAATAGGGCTATAGCACACAAAAATGGTGAATAAAAACCCACCTCCATAAGCTAAACACTTTTTCTTTATCAAAACAGTTATTTGTGATTTTATTGTTTATAAATATCTTTGTCATTTACAGGTTTTCTCTGTTTTATATGACTTTAATCACAATCATAAGAAAGATTGTGTATATGTCATATACATTATTGAGGAGGAAACTGTGGCAGAGTTAAGTGAAGAAAAAGTCATATAATATAAAAAGCTGCTTAATATTGAGGTGAGACGGCCATGGGCACACTTAGGCTATACTATAACTCTGTATAAACAAGCATCCATGTTTCAATCTTTTCTTTGAGGAAATAATGTACCTTTTTATGCCAAAGGACATTTCCTCCACCTGTGCTTTATACCTCTATTCTTTCCTCTGCAGGGATTCTGCTCCATCTGTAATTCATAGTCTATTGTATTTTTAATGTTTCCCTTTTTCTGCCTGCTTCCATCAAAATATTAAAATAGTTGATGTTCATCCATCATCAGAATAATCCTCCTTCCAGCCTATGTTACTATGGAATCAGCTATCATTGTCTTTCATTGACATCTTTCTCTTTCATTCACAATAACTCTTGTAGAAAGTTAAATATGTCATTGCTTTTGCTATTATTCAATATTCCATTCAATATTTTATGTGCTTAACTTTGTTTACTACTCCTGTCCAGTTCCCACACTGAGAAAAGTTTGAGGATAGAGATAGAGAGGTAGAGATACAGATTTGAGAATCATCAAAATTTAAACGATTTTTGCAGCTATGTGAGGGAAAGACCATCTCCCAGGGAAAATGTATGGCATGAAAAGTCCAAAGGGGAAAAGTAGTAAGCTCAAAATGCATTAGAATTTAAGAACAAGGCAAAGATGTTGGATAAACATGGCTAGAAGATTTATAAGAAAACTAGGACAGAGTGCTAAGGAGAATAGTGAGAGATCAGAATAACAACAAGAAAGAGTGGACAAAAGCCGAAAATGCCACAAAACTGTTAAGTAATTTTGACTATACCAACATGAAAGTTATGAGTGACTATTTTTACAGAGGTATCTGTGGAAGGATAGGGGTCGAAGTAAAATTATATTGCTTTGAAAAGTGAATAAACGGGCAGTGAGGATGCAGACATAATATTTTCATAGTTATATTTCAACAAATCTGGCTGTGCTGAAAAGCTGCAGAAAAATAGCTATGGCATATGGGCTTAAGGCAAAATTGTGTTTTAAAATAATAGCATTTCTTTACATTAGCATAGCATATAGACACACATACATATAGAAAGTTTATTCACATTACTTTATCAGCTTTCTGCTATTTTATTTACTTTTTTTCCCGATTTTTCAATTTGTTAATTTTTCTCAGAGTTTTTAATAACTTAATGTCACTATTTTGGAGAAAATAATTCAAATTGAATCTAAGTTTTCTTTTCTTCACACATAATATTGAATGCCCTTTCTCTCTCTCTTTATACATCACTTATGTTTTATACTTTTTGCTTTTCAAAAACTTTTAAATAAAAATTTTCTTCAGGCTGATTATTAATTACATTTAGTCCTCAAATTCAAACAAAATAATTTTTAATCAGATAATTTATGTTTATAATTTGTGTGAGTACATAACTGAACATATTTCACATTTATAATTGTATGTTTTGTTCCAAACTGAAAATATTTGAGCTAATTCCATAGGCAAGAATACCTAGAATTAAAACTCAATGGAGGTCTGCAAACATAACTCTACATAATCAAAAGAAATATTTTTAAAAAATGAATGTACATGAATTCAATTTGTCCATTTGATTCTGCACTTATTTGGTTATCAGAAAGATGCAAAATGATATTTAGACATATGATGTTAACCTCTATCAATTACTGTTTTAATGATAGGAGGACTTCCCTTATTCAAACTCTTGCAATATTTTGACATTGTTGTTTGAATAAAGATTAACCAGTTCAATATGTCAAAGTAAAATTTTTCCTTCCACTAAAGATTTTGCATTATATGTGCCATATTTCTATACAATAATTGATAGACAATAATAGAATCTTTCAAAAGCAAAGAGGTATTGGTAGCTTAAATTCTTAGTGGGGTAGGGTTGAAATGTAAGGTTCTCATAGAAATTAATTTTTCCTTGTACTCATGAAAAATTTCTAATTGTTAACATTATTTCAGGTAATTTATATATTTAAAATGAAAACCTTTGCTATGGTAATTTTATTGAATTACTGATTCAGTAAATGAAAAGCACATTGCATATTATTAGTTATAGTTTCAACCATAATTATTATATTTTAATTATTAAATTTCTAAAATAAAATGAAATGCAGTTTTGGACTTACTTTTTCTAATGATAAAAATTTTAATAGAAACAAAAAAGTGAAAAAAAGCTTTAGAAGACTATTTTAAAATAATTTGAGTTAATTAAATATGTTTTTAATACAACTAATAACATTATGTAGGGTTACAAAAGTCAAATGAAGGCTGCTTATTTAGTAACAAATATATCCCTTTAGTAGACAAAACTTAGATGACTCATTTCTATTACTAAAATATGTATCAGCTCACATATAGGGTGGATACACATCTCCATTGCAAATATAATCTCTTAAACTTTTAGACTTTGCAGATTAGCATGAAAGCAATACTAAAATAAAATGGCCAAATGTTGAAAATGTTTAGATATTTGTATTCATTCTATAAGTAGCTCAGGTAGTATTTTTAAAGTGCCTAAAAATAAGTAATAAAGAAATAATAAAGGGGAAAATTGACACAATGTTTTTTTTTGAAAATTGACACATATGGGAAGTAATTCCCATTATAATTTTAAAACTTAATTTTTAAAAAGAACAAGCTGTCCACAGTATTAGAGAATAACTCAATATTGCTTTATGGTAAATCTGCAAAAATGGCCACACATTCTTCCCCCTTTTGTGTCCATACTCACCTCTGTGAAACTTTGCTTTCCATTATGATTGTGGGTCCAGTCATGTGACTTGCCTTGTTCAATGAGATGTCAATGAAAATGACAGTAACAAAGGCTTGAAAAGTTCTTACATAGTGTGATTTGTCCTCTTTCTTGCTGTTTTGGGATTCCTATGAATACTATTCACTGAAGAAGCCCAGGCTGGCTTGTTGAAAAATGAAAAACAAATGGCCCAGGTACTTTCATTAGGAACAGGGCTGCCCTGCTGAGAGGCAGCGGGCCCCAGAAAAATGAGTGAACCCACTTGAGTCTGAGAGCAATCAAAGTACCAACAAAGAATTAAAAGATACACAAATGTTATATTATGTATCACAAGTTTTACTGATACAAAAATTGGTTCTAGGAGTGGGGTGCTACTATTAAAAATATCCTAAAACATTTGGCATTGGATTCAGGATCAGGTTTTGGTTGGCAATACAAAAGAGTCTAGGAAATTGTCAGCAAAGACTTGATACTATCCCAAACAAAACAATAAAAAAAAAAATTGAACTACGAAAGCAGAGAGTAAACTGCTAAAGTAGATTTGCTAAATGGTGACCCAGATTATATAGTTGTGGAAAAAATGGTAAAAACTGTTCCCTGTTTTAAATTGAAATATAAAACAAGTGTAATGTACTTGTAGGTCTTTTTTTTTTTTTTTTTTTTTTTTTTTTTTTTGAGACGGAGTCTCGCTCTGTGGCCCAGGCGGGAGTGCAGTGGCGCAATCTCGGCTCACTACAAGCTCCGCCTCCCAGGTTCACGCCATTCTCCTGCCTCAGCCTCCCGAGTAGCTGGGACTACAGGCGCCCGCCACCACGCCCGGCTAATTTTTTTGTATTTTTAGTAGAGACGGGGTTTCACCGTGTTAGCCAGGATGGTCTCGATCTCCTGACCTCGTGATCCGCCCGCCTCGGCCTCCCAAAGTGCTGGGATTACAAGCGTGAGCCACCGCGCCCGGCCTGTAGGTCTTGATAAGGTGATTTTTCTGGAATATGATAAAAAGTGCCAGTGGACATCTATATACTACGTATGGTAATGCTCAGAAAGAGAAGGATGAGTTATTGGCGTGCATTGGAAATTTAAACTCATTCTCAATCCCCATTTTTCAAACCAGAAAGGAAGTACAAATGACCTCAGGTTAAAGATCAAATCAAAAGTGTAGCTGCAATACACTTGGTTGAGACCTTTGAAAGATTTTGTCAGTGAGTGGTATAACCTCCCAGCTAGAAAAAGAAAGGAATACATAAAAAAAATAAGATTAGTATTACACTAGCCTGGCCACCCAAAGTAGAAAGAAGCTTACCTTAAAAGGAATTGTAAGTGTGGTTTTTAGGTCATAGCAAGGACCCAAATAAGAAATTTGCAATGTTTTTAAGGGAATTGTCCTGCCATCTGAAATTGAAAGAGACTAAGTTTAACACCAAGACAGGACTGTACGGTTTTAACTTTCTATCTTTTGTAGTCAGAATTAGAAAGCTCTTCAGCTACAAATTTAAGATATTTTTTAATGAAAATGATCCTTTCAAAGATTATAGCCATGGGCTAAAGATAATTATGGACTACATTTGATGTTCTTAAACATATTAGTCTCAAGACTTCTTTGTTCTCATATATATTATTTAGGCTCCAGAGAGCTTTTCATTCTTTTGATTCTTTTATCTCTCTTATTTACCAATTAGATATTAAAACTGTGAATTGAAAATGTTTATTTAAAACAATAATAAACCTACTAACTGATATCATTTTGCATTTTAAGAAAAAATAAACATAATAATTTGAGTAGAGAAAGTAGCATTGTTTTACATTTTCAGGTGCTATGGTTTCAATGGGTCCACTAAAGTTCAAGTATCTGAAGCTTAATGTCCAATGCAACAGGGTTGAGAGTTAGGACCTTCAAGAGGTGATTAGGTTATGAGGGTCGTGCCTTTCTGAATGCATTGATGCAATTACTGGGGGACTGGATAAGTTCAGGAGTGAGTTGCTGATAAAAGGATGATTTCAGCCTCATCCAGCCTCTTTCCTTTTCTTTCTTTCTTTCATGCCTACTCTTTCACATTTCCGCCTTTCACTATGGGATGACGTAGCAAGAAGGCCCTCGCCAGATATGAGTTCCTTCATCCTGGACTTCCCCAATTCTGGAACTATAAGAAATGCATCTTCATTCTTACAAATATCTAGTCTCAAGTATTTTGTTATAGTGGCACCAAACAAAGTAGGACAGCAAGTCTTTTTTTATGATAGAATAAATAGAATAAATCTGAATTCTCATGCATTCTTCTGCATTCTATCAGTTGTGATATGTTGCTGTGGTTGAAATATATAAAGAAAATATGGCCTCTGATAAATATATAGAATAAAAATGGAAGTGTATTTTCATAACCTTTTTACATTATTTTGGATATTCTTATCTAATAATAGCTCAAAACTTGAAAAGTCACGGACTCTTAAAATCCATACCATTACCTTGCAGTTTGAATAGATCTGTTGCTATTCATGGTTTTGGGATACCATACATGGGTTACCTGGAAATGCGGGTAATTTATTTGTGTACCCTTTTTAAAAACTTTATTTAATTTTATTTTAAGTTCTTAATAGGGATAGCTTTGAATCTATAAATTACTTTGGGCAGTATGGCCATTTTCACAATATTGATTCTCCTACCCATGAGACTGGAATGTTTTTCCATTTGTGTCCTCTCTGATTTCCTTGAGAGGTGGTTTGTAGTTCTCCTTGAAGAGGTCCTTTACATCCCTTGTAAGTTATATTCCTAGGTATTTTAGTCTCTTTGTAGCAATTGTGAATGGGAGTTCACTCACGATTTGGCTCTTTGTTTGTCTATTATTGGTGTATAAGAATGCTTGTGATTTTTGCACATTGATTTTGTATCCTGAGACTTTGCTGAAGTTACTTATCAGCTTAAGGAGATTTGGGGCTGAGATGGTGGAGTTTTCTAAATATACAATCATGTCATCTGCAAACAGACACAATTTGACTTCCTCTCTTCCTATTTGAATACCTTTATTTCTTTCTCTTGCCTGATTGCCCTGGCCAGAACTTCCAATATTCTGTTGAATAGGAGTGGTGAGAGAGGGTATCCTTGTCTTGTGCCGGTTTTCAAAGGGAATGCTTCCAATTTTTGCCCATTCAGTATGATATGGCTGTGGGTTTGTCATAAATAACTCTTATTGGCCCGGCACGGTAGCTCGCGCCTGTAATCCCAGCATTTTGGGAGGCCAAAGCGGGAGGTTCACTTGAGGTCAGGAATTCGAGACCAGCCTGGCCAACATGGTGAAAACTCGTCTCTATTGAAACTACAAAAACTAGCCCGGCATGGTGGCAGGCTCCTGTAATCCCAGCTACTCAAGAGGCTGAGGCAGGAGAATTGCTTGAACCTGGGAGGCGGAGGTTGCATTGAGCTGAGATCACACCACTGCACTCCAGCCTGGGCTACAAGAGTGAGACTCAAAAAACAAAAATAAATAAATAAATAAATATAAATAGCTTTTCTTATTTTGAGATATGTTCCATCAGTACCTAGTTTATTGAGAGTTTTTAGCATGAAGGGGTGTTGAAGTTTGTCGAAGGTCTTTTCTGCATCTATTGAGATAATCATGTGGTTTTTGTATTGGTTCTGCTTATGTGATGGATTACATTTATTGATTTGTGTATGTTGAACCGGGCTTGCATTCCAGGGATGAAGCTGACTTGATTGTGGTGGATAAGCTTTTTGATGTGCTGCTGGATTTAAATTCTGGGATACATGGGCAGGACGTGCAAGTTTGTTACACCGGTAAACACGGGTGTGCTTTGGTGGTTTGCTGCATCTATCAACCCATCACCTAGACATTAAGCCCCACATGCATTAGCTATTTGTCTTGATGATCTCCCTTCCCCTGCACCCCCTGACAGGCCCCAGTGTGTGTTGTTCCCCTCCCTGTGTCCATGTGTTCTCATTGTTAAGCTCCCACCTATAAGTGGGAACATGTGGTATTAGGTTTTCTGTTCCTGTGTTAGTTTGCTGAGGGTAATGGCTTCTACCTCCTTCCATGTCCCTGCCAAGGTCATGATCTTGTTCCTATGGCTGCATAGTATTCCATGGTGTATATGTACCACATTTTCTTTATCCAGTCTATCATTGATGGGCTTTTGGATTGAATCCATGCCTTTGTTATTGTAAATAGCGCTGCAGTGAACATACATGTGCTTGTGTCTTTATAATAGAATGATTTATATTGCTTTGGGTATATAGCCAGTGATGGGATTGCTGAGTTAAATGGTATTTCCAGCTGTAGGTATTTGAGGAATTGCCATACTGTTTTCCACAATGGTTGCACTAATTTACATTTCCACCAAAACTGTAAAAGCATTCCTATTTCTCCACAGCCTCACCAGCATCTGCTGTTTCTTGACTTTTTAGTAATCACCATTCTGTCTGGCATGAGATGGTATGGCATTGTGGTTCTGATTTGCATTTCTCTGATGATCAGTGATGTTGAACTTTTTCTCATGTTTGTTGGCCACATAAATGTCTTCTTTTGATAAATGTCTGTTCTTGTCCTTTGCCCATATTTTAATGGGGTTTTTTTTTGTTTGTTTGTTTGTTTTGGTGTGTGTGTGTGTTGTAAATTTGTTTAAGTTACTTGTAGATTCTGGATATCAAACCTTTGTCAGATGGATACATTTCAAAATTTTCTCCTATTCTGTAGGTTGTCTGTTCACTCTGATGCTATTTTCTTTTGCTGTGTAGAAGCTCTTTAGTTTAATTATATCCCATTGGTCAATTTTTGCTTTTGTTGCAATTGCTTTTGACGTTTTCTTCATGAAATCTTTGCCCATGTCTATGTCCTGAATGGTATGGCCTAGATTTTCTTCTAGGGTATTTATAGTTTTGGGTTTTACATTTAAGTCTTTAATCCATTTTTAGTTAATTTTTGTATAAGGAGTAAAGAAGGGGTCCAGTTTCAATTTTCTTCGTATGGCTATCCAGTTTGCCCAGCACCATTATTAAATAGAGAATCCTTTCCCCATTGTTTGTTTTTGTCAGATTTGTCAAAGACTGGATGATTATAGATGTGTGGTCTTATTCCTTAGATCTCTATACTATTCCATTGGTCTATGTGTCTGTTTTTGTACCAGCACCATGCTGTTTTGGTTACTCTTGCCTTATAGTATAGTTTGAAGTTTGTTAGTGTGATGCTTCCAGCCTTTTCTTTTTCCTTAAGATTGTCTCGGCTATACAGGCTGATTTTTTGAATAAAATTCAAAATACTTTTAAACTATTAATTTTAAAGTAGTTTTTTATAAGTCTGTGAAGAATGTCAATGGTAGTTTAATGGGAATATCATTGAATCTATAAATTACTTTCAGCAGTATGGTCATCTTTATGATATTGATTGTTTCTATCTGTGAGCATAGAATGTTTTTCCATTTGTTTGTGTCCTCTCTGATTTCCTTGAGCAGTGGTTTGTAGTTCTTGAAGAGGTCCTTCACATCCCTTGTTAGCTGTATTCATAGGTATTTTATTCTTTTTGTAGCAATTGTGAATGAGAGTTCATTCATGATTTGGCTCTCTGCTTGTCTATTGTTGATGTAAAGGAATGCTTGTAATTTTTTCACATTAATTTTGAATTCTGAGACTTTGCTGAAAAGTTGTTTATCAGCTTAAGAAGCTTTTGGGCTGAGATGGTCGGGTTTTCTAGATATAGGATCATGTAATCTGCAAACAGAGACAGTTTGACTTCCTCTCTTCCTATCTGAATACCTTTTATTTCTTTTTAAAATTTTTTTATTATACTTTAAGTTCTGGGATACATGTGCAGAACCTGCAGTTTTGTTACACAGGTATACACGTGCCATGGTGGTTTGCTGCACCCATCAATCTGTCATCTACATTAGGTATTTCTCCTAATGCTAGCCCTCCCCTAACCTGCACTCCCTGACAGGCCCCAGTATGTGATGTTCCCTTCCCTGTGTCCATGTGTTCTCATTGTTCAACTCCCACCTATGAATGAGAACATGCGGTGTTTGGTTTTCTGTTCTTTTGTTATTTCGCTGAGAATGATAGTTTCCAGCTTCATCCATATCCCTGCAAAGGACATGAACTCATCCTTTTTTATGGCTGCATAGTATTCCATGGTGTATATGTGCCATCTTTTATTTATCCAGTCTATCACTGACAGGCAGTTGGATTGGTTCCAAGTCTTTGCTATTGTGAACAGTGCTGCAATAAACATACGTGTACATGTGTCTTTATAGCAAAATGTTTTAAAGTCCTTTGGGTATATGTCCTGTAATGGGATTGCTGGGCCAAATGGTATTTCTGGTTCTAGATCCTTGAGGAATCACCACACTGTCTTCCACAATGGTTGAACTAGTTTACAGTCCCACCGACAGTGTAAAAGCATTCCTGTTTCCCCACATCCTCTCCAGCATCTGTTGTTTACTGACTTTTTAATGATCACCATTCTAACTGGTGTGAGAAGGTATCTCATTTTGGTTTTGACTTGCATTTCTCTAATGACCAGTGATGATGAGCTTTTTTTCATATGTTGGTTGGCTGCATAAATGTCTTCTTTTGAGAAGTGTCTGTTTACATCCTTTGCCCAATTTTTGATGGGGTTGAATACTCTTTATTTCTCTTTGAATTCTCTTTCTTTCTTTCTCTTGCCTGATGGCCATGGCCAGAGCTTCTAATACTACGGTGAATAGGAGTGGTGAGAGAGGGCATTTTGTCTTATGCCAGTTTTCAAGGGGAATGCTTCCAGCTTTTGCCTATTCAGTATGATATTACCTGTGGGTTTAAATAGTAAGAGTCATAAATGACTCTTACTATTTTGAGGTAGGTTCCATTAATACCTAGTTTAATGAGAGTCTTTCACCTGAAGGGATGTTGAATTTTATAGAAGGCTTCTTCTGCATCTATTGAGATAATTATGCAGTTTTTTTCTTTAGTTCTGTTTATATTATGAATCGCATTTATTAATTTGCATATGTTGAACCAGGCTTGCATACTTGATCATGGTGGATAATCTTTCTGATGTGCTGTTGAATTCGGTTTGCCAGTATTTTTTTGAAGATATTTGCATTGATGTTCATCAGAAGGATTGGCCTAAGGTTTCCTTTTTTTGTTGTAAATGATGACACATTGCATGATACGATATCAACAAATAACACTTGTATAATATTACCATGGATCTAATAAAAAGATTTTTTTATATATTGAGAACCTGGCAAGCTTGTGATGGTGGGAAAAATTTGTCTTAAATTCAAATATGTGCCAAAAGCTCAAATTTTGTCATTGGCTACAAATACAGTCATTTGTCCTTCTTGAAGTTACAGATGGGCATTCATTTTCAATAAATTATCCATGAAATACCTCAGTCTGAATTGTCATAGGTTGTCAGTTATCCATTTGAGTAAAAAACTAGATTCCAGGAAGAAAATCTGCTGTAATTCGGATTGGAACTCCATTATATATATTATTTTTCTTGATAGAAGTGTTACACTTCAATATGTAGCAAATGTTCTTTATGCATAATTCCCATTTCATGACAGAGTATATTAAATCATTGAATACTGTTATTGACTATAGTCACCCAATTGTGCTATCAAATACTAGAGGGTTGAAATTTAATAATTGTGTGATTTCAACAAGGACAAAGTAAAACTGGTTTTCTTCCCTTTTGTGTGTGTGTTGGTGAAGAATACCCTTGGTGGAGGTTATCTCCATCACAATTTGTGCTAATTTTACACACCATTGTTTTTCAATCATCAGTACAAATGTAAACACAGTAAAAAAAAAAAAAAAAAGCAAATAATACCCTAGCGAACTTATGAAGATAGCTTTTATTTGGGCCCCCTTAAAAGGACCTATGGCATACCAGCTATGCAAATACTACTTCTGAGAATCTGAGAACCACTCCTGAGATGTGCAGAAACCAAGAGACTTGGAGCCACTCTGAGAGATCAGAACTGGGATCCAGTCTAGAAAAACTCGTGCTCCAGAGTAGGTAATCCTGGCAATATTTCCCCTGGGGATTTCAGAATAACTAGGAACAAGTCACTTTGTGTTTCTTACCATCCTGACACTTTTTGAATGTGGGATAGGTCTATTGTAGAAAAGCTATTCTTGTCTCACAATTGTGTACTTAGTGTTTGTACGCATGTAGGGAAAGAGAGACAGTTACTTGATCAAAAACAACAGAATTCAAAAAGCCAAGTGAAATATCATAGAGATTATGAGATCCCAAACTTCAAGCCTGATGCTGTGATTGGATGCCACTTTTTGTGGTAGTGAAAGGGATGACTGGCCGGGCGCAGCGGCTCAAGCGTGTAATCCCAGCACTTTGGGAGTCCGCGGCGGGTGGATCACGAGGTCAGGAGATGGAGACCATCCTGGCTAACACGGTGAAACCCCGTCTCTACTAAAAATACAAAAAATTAGCCGGGCGTGTTGGCGGGCGCCTGTAGTCCCGGCTACTTGGGTGGCTGAGGCAGGAGAATGGCGTGAACCTGGGAGGCGGAGCTTGCAGTGAGCCGAGATCCCGCCACTGCACTCCAGCCTGGGCGACAGAGCGAGACTCTGTCTCAAAAAAAAAAAAAAAAAAAAAAAAAGAAAAGAAAAGAAAAAGAAAGAAAAAAAAAAGAGGGTGACTGCATTATGCTTGAGGTATCCACGAAAATTTATTTATTAAATATTTAAATTTAAATTTAAATGTCCAGAGCACCAGATGTGGTAGGCTGTACAATTCACCACAAATTCTTCCTCCTTGTGTGCCTACATCTTCTTACCATGTATCTGTGAATGGGATCTTACTCTGTCTCTGGGCTTGTGCCTATCCCTTAATTTGGCCAAGGGATTAACAACAAATAGGATATAATCAGAGGATGTAAAAGCACTTGCAGAGTACGGCGTTTCTTTCTTGTTGCTTTTCAGAACTTTGTGAAAGACAACATGTGAAAAACTCCAGGGTAATACACTGGAGGTGAGAGCTATATGGCCCAGTTACCCCTGCTGATCGAGCTCAAAGGCAGCCAGCCTCAACTGAGTGGTAACTGGCCACAGAAACCTATGTAAGACCAACTGCCACCAGAAAGTCTATGCAACTGAGCCCACCGAACTTACCAGCCTTCAGAATCATGAATTCCATAAATATTTGTTTTTAACCATTTAATTGTGCAGGCTTTGTTATTCAACCAGAGTTAACCGATACACATGGTATGTTCCCTCTTCACGGACTCTTCAGTGTTCCTTACAAATAATTGTATTATTCTTTGCTCATGAGATTCCTTCGTTTTGAATTCCCTATGCCTTGCTCTACCTTATATAGTCTTACTCGTTTAATCTCCTACAGTATTCTTTTATATCTGTTCTTTATATCTTATTTAATGGAATATCTATATTGATTGATTTGCTTATAACCATAACATAGCCACAAATAATAAAATCTTAGAAATAAAGAATAAATAAGACTTTTAATCAGATATGACATAAAAATGAACTGTTTAAAACTCATTTTGAATATAAAATATGCCAAACAAAAATATAGTTATATCAAGAAAATTAAATTTAAAATAGGTATTTCTTCCATACATGATATATCTGCACATTGCTTTTTTACTGGATAGAGGCTAGAGAATTTTTACATTTATATATATATATATAGAGAGAGAGAGAGAGAGAGAGAGAATTTTTACATATGAAATGATATATATGTAAAATTATATATATGTGTGTGTGTATATATATATATATATAAATATATATATATATATACTTCTTTCCTTTTAAATAAATGCATAGGATTCCATGATATTGGCCTCATAATTCATTTTTACTAACAATAGCTAGGCTATTTCCAGGTTTGTTATTCTTATGGTTTTGTGAGTGTGGTAGTTTACATTTTATTTTGTTTACTTTATCTGGTTTTCTTTTGCCTTAATAATAGTGTGTCAACGAGTGTACTGTGTACTTATTTATTTTTTACCCTGTCGTACTGAAATGCATCAATGGGAGATCTGGCAGTTCCTGTAGCACAGCGTCATTATATGAAGGCGGTGTGCTAAAAATAGTTTGAACTATTTTGTATTCAAACATAAATTACACTTATAATATGAAATATGATATGAGTAGCAACCGATGACAATATAGTTCGTCAGTTTTCTTTGAAGAAATATATACACTTTAATACATTACATAGCTCACATATCTAAAATGTATTAGTTAAGATTGTACCTTGTATTTTTTCACATGAAGAATGATCTTTACTTTCTTAATTTATATTACTTATATATAAAAATCAAAATAAAAATTATTTATTGTTTCATTAAGTTTATTTAAAGGTAAGAATATTCTCATTTAGCAATTACATAAAATCAAATTACCTGGTACAGACACGCACAGAGGTGCACACCACTAAGTATGCTGTAGAAGTTCAGACACAGGTTCACATGTTCCTGGATCGTCAACACAAACATTCTAGAAAATCTCATTTCCACACATTTGCATACCATGCCATCCAGTGCTATTGTTTGGGAGGCTGAGGTGAGCGGATCACAAGGTCAAGGAATCGAGACCACCCTGGCCAACATGATGAAACCCCGTATCTACTAAAAATACAAAAATTAGCTGGGTGTGGTGGCGGGCGCCTGTAGTTCCAGCTACTCAGGAGGCTGACGCAGGAGAATTGCTTGAACCTGGGAGGCAGAGTTTGCAGTGAGCCGAGATCGCACCACTGCACTCCAGCCTGGTGACACAGGGAGAATCCATCTCAAAAAAAAGAAAAAAAAAAAAAAAAGGATACATAAAAGCTACTATCTTTTTCAGGTGTCTTATTTAATTTTGTTCCACAACTGTTCCAATCTATTTTATTTTTTATATTGTTGTGTTTTATTTTATTTTTATATTGTTTTATTTTATTTTTTATATTGTTGTGTTTGTTTGTTATCAAAGAATAAAATGAATTTCCATAAACTACACATAAATATAATATTGTATTATGCCTATGGTCAATTTATAGTTCTTTTCTATTTATAACTACCTTAATATTTGACTTCCCATGAGACAAAATCTACTGGAGTAAATAAAACACAAAATGATAGGCAAGAACCCCCCGAATATTCTAGTTGCCTTCAAAAAAGGTAAGTCAAATATTTAACTAAATATTTAGTTTGTGGATAAATATACTGGAGTTATTTAGTGTAGCTATTATAGGCATACAGATGGATTTATTTAATTTGCTGGCAATACAAATAAACCTAAATATAATTTTAATATATCAATCAGTTTGAACAATTATCTCCTATAATTAAAAGTGAACTTTTTTCTCACATTGTAGTTAGTTATATCACCACAGTCATCTTTCACTTGTATTATTATACATGGTAGAGAAAATGGGACTTTTAGGAAAGCCACACTGTAAGACTTTGATGTTTTACCTGATGCATTTCCTACCTAAACAAACTAATTCTGATATTTCACAGAACAAAATGTTTTCTTTTTCTCATTCTTCCCACCATGACCTCAACATCTCTCTCTCTCTAACCCCTTCGTCTACCCTCTATCTCTTTTTCTCTTCCACACCCCTCTCCCATTTATCTTTTCTCTTCCCCTCTTTCCTTCACCACTTTTCTCTCCCCTGTGATAACTTTTTGCCTCCTCTTCTTTCCTCTTTTAGAGATGGATATCTGGATAAGTGGGTGAAGATTAAGTCACTATCAATTATTTGTACAAACCCTATACTTTTAGAGAATAAAGGGAATACTTTTTTTTTGAGATGGAGTCTTGCTCTGTCACCCAGGCTGGAGTGCAGTGGCATGATCTCAGCTCACTGCAACCTCCGCCTCCTGGGTTCAAGCTATTCTCCTGACTCAGCCTCTCAAGTAGCTGGGACTACAGGCACGCACCACCACGCCCGGCTAATTTTTATATTTTTAGTAGAGACGGGGTTTCACCACGTTGGCCAGGCTGGTCTTGATCTCTTGACCTTGTAATCCACCCACCACAGCCTCCCAAATTGCTGGGATTACAGGCATGAGCCACTGCATCTGACCAAAAGGAATACTTTTTATCTGAACTAGACCACTTAGCCATAGAACTAAAACGATTTAATACAGAGCTGTGTTCTATTTGCTTTCCTTTTTCTTTGTCTTTACTCTATTTCTATAGTAAGTTCCTGCAAGACATCCAGTAGATACATTGACTTTTATTTGGTGAATAAATTTAAGGGACTTCAAGAGTTAAGGCCTTTTCTAGTTCATGGTCTGATATCCCTAGAATGTGGTTAAAAAAGGTTGCTAGATATCAATCCATCACACTCACATTACAATAAGCAGGAATGGAGGAGAGAAGGCGGAGAAAATGAGAACAAGCACAAGTTGTATCATGTCTATTTTATCGAAGGTTCCCAAGCTGTATAGGACACATCTGCTTTCTTTCCATTGTTTAGAAGTAGGCACTCCTAGCTTCACCCAAAAAAAAGTCATTTTGTGAAATATCATTTTTATTCTGGGAAAGAACATGCAGAGCTAAAAGTTGAAGGTTCTATTACTATAAAAGAAAAGAAGAACACATATCGAGGGACTACTAGTAGGTTCTACTATAGTGTTTACTTAACTGGACCCAGTTATTCTTTATTTTATAGCCTTAAAATTTCAGTGGTTACATTGAAGAGCAAGCTCCATGTATAACAGCTTTCTTTGAGCCCAATTCTGAAAGGAAATATTCTATAAAACTCCATAGATAGATATATAGATGACAGATAGATAGAAATACACACATATGTATATATATATACACACACACACACACACACACACAATCTATGTGCATATATTTGTGAGCATATGTATATATAGATATCATATATCCATTTTTATCTATAGCGGAAACTCTCAATCTCCATTAAAAGTCTATATTTTATCCTTTCTTTTACATGGAGTATGAACATTAATGTTATACTGGAATATACACATGATAAATGGTTTATTGCAGTGTTTCCAAAATTTTATAGAGGAATACACATATATATATATGTGTGTGTGTGTGTGATATGTATGTGTGTGTATGTGTTTATAGAGAAAGAGATGTTGAAACTATCAAATTTATGTGCTTTACCTTAAAATTATTTATAGCCAAGAAACTGATGTGACTAGATCAACGACAGTGATATAAATACACGACAGATAGATGTAGATAGGTTTCCTGTTAGTTTGATTTTTGTCCTTTACTATGTGCTTAGCCCTGGGTCCAACACCAGAGGCATTGCAATCGGAGCAGATGAAGAAACTGAGGAAGAGAAAAGTGGAAAGCAGGTCTAACACAGTCAGTTGTCTGGCCCAGTCGTCAATCTACCTTGAGTGTATAGCAGGTTGCTTCTCTCTTCTAGCATATCCACACACCAGCCTTCATAAAAATCCTCTATGAAACTGGGAGAACAGCCTGCCTTTAGGGATATGTTGATGATTCCCGATGACCTCAAATCAAAGTCATATGATCCTCAAGGCTTTAAAAAGCTCAGGCCAACCTTATACCATTGTTTTCACATCACATTTTTACTGAAACTCAACTAAGAAGAAATTGTCCTCTCACTATTCCTCATGTAAAATATATTTATTATAA